>NC_000003.12:157947998-158251028 GCF_000001405.40 Homo sapiens | reverse complement strand
CTATTTCTCACCATATACAAAAACCAAATCAAAATCAATGAAAGACTTAAATTTAAGACCTCAAACTACGAAAGTACTACAAGAAAACATTGGAGAAACTCTCCAGGACATTGTTCTGGGCAAAGATTTCCTGACTAATACCCCACAAGCACAGCCAACCAAAGCAAACATGGACAAATGTTATTACATCAAGTTAAAAAGCTTCTGCACAGCAAAGGAAACAATCAACAAAGTAAAGAGACATCCCAAAGATTGGGAAAATATCTGCATCCCAAAGAAAATATCTGCAAACTATCCATGTGACAAGGGATTAATAACCAGAATATATAAGGAACTCAATAACCTCAATATGAAAAAAATATTATGATCTGATTTAAAAAGTGGGCAAAAGACTTGAATGGATGTTTCTCAAAGGAAGACATACAAGTGACAAACAGGTATTTGAAAAGCCATTCAACATCACTGATCATCAGAGAGAAGCAAATCCAAACTACAACAAAACATTATCTCACCCCAGTTAAAATGGCTTTTATCCAAAAGACAGACAATAACAAATGCTGGTGAGTATGTGAAGAAAAGGGTAGCCTTGTACACTGTTGGTGAAAGTGTAAATTAGTACAACCACTATGGAGAACAGTGTGGAGGTTCCTCATAAAACTAAAAATAGAACTACCATATAATCCAGTAATCCCACTGCTAGGTATATAACCAAAAGAAAGGAAATTTTTGTATCAAGATCATCTGCACTCCCACGTTTATTGCAGCACTATTCACAATAGCCAAGATTAGGAAACAACCTAAGTGTCCATCAACACAGAAATGGATAAAGAAAACGTGCTAACATATACACAATAGAGTACTATATAATCATAAAAATGAATGAGATCCTGTAATTTACAATAACACAGCTGGAACTGGCGGTCATTATGTTAAGTGAAATAAGCCAAGCACAGAAAGACAAACTTCACATGTTCTCACTTATTTGTGGGAGACAAAAATTAAAACAATTGAATTCATGGAGAGAGTACAATGATGCTTACTAGAGGCTGAGAACGGTAGTGGGGTGTGGTGGGGGAAGTCAGGATGGTTAGTGGGTACAGAAATATAGATAGAATGAAAAAGAGTATTTGATAGCACAAGAGGATCGCTACAGTAATTAATAATTTATTACACATTCAAAAATAACAAAAAGTATAATTGAATTGTTTGTAACAAAAAGGGTAAATGCTTGAGGTGATGGATACCCCATTTATTCTGATGTGATTATTACGCTTTATATACTATATCAAAATATCTCATGTACTCCATTAATATATAAACCTACTACGTGCCCCAAAAAAATAAAAATAAATTTTTAATTTAAAAAAGTGAAGCATAAATGTACCATAGATCTACACATTCTACTGTCAAAAGAAATGAAAGAATACGTCCATACAAAGACTTATACATGAATTTTCACAGCAGCTGGTTTTGTAATAGTCAAAAATTGGTAACAACCAAAATATCCCTCACTAGGTGAATGAAAAGTCAAATTGTTTCATAGAAACCATAATATTTAATAGAATACTATTCAGCAACAAAGAGAAGTGATACTTGCAACAACATGAGTGTCAGAACACTTATGCAGAGTGAAAGAAGCCAGACAGAAAGTACATATCCTGTAAGCGATTTTATTTATAGAAAGCTCTAGGAATGCAAACTAGTCTGCAGTGACAATAAGTGGGTGCCTGAGGGAGGGAGAGTGGATGCGAGGTAGGGGGTGATTACAAAGGAGTGATGGAGGATAAGTTCACTATCTTAATTGTGATGGTTTCACAGGTAAATCAAAACATATAAAATTGCATGCTTTTAAATATATGCAGCTTACTGAATGTTAATTATACCTCAATAAAATGATTTTTTAAAATAGGAGAAATATTGACTAGACACACTACACAAAAGAAGATACACACGTGGCCAAAAAGCAAATAATTGATACTCAATATTATTAGGTATCAGAAAAATGGAACTTATACTCACAGTAGAATACATCTACAAATCCATCAGAACGACTAAAATCAGAAAGAACAACAATACCAACTATTGGTAAGTATATGGAGCAACCTGACACCTGTCAATGTACAGTGGTACTAGGCCTATAGAAAACTATTTTGCAGTTTCTTAAAAAGTTAACCTAAGCTGGGCAGGCGGATCACTTGAGGCAAACAGCTTGAGACCAGCCCTGGCAACATGGAGAAACCCTGTCTCTACTAAAAATACAAAAATTAGCCAGGCGTGGTGGCACATGCCTGTAATCCCAGCTACTCAGGAGGCTGAGGCAGGAGAATTGCTTGAACCCAGGAGGCGGAGGTTGCAGTGAGCCAAGATCACATTACTGCACTCCAGCCTGGGAGACAGAGTGAGACTCTGTCTCAAAAAAAAAAAAAAGTTAATCCAAACCTACAAAACAAGTCAGCCATCCAATTTCCAGATAACAAAAACATGTCTACTTAAAGAACTATATATAAATGCTCATAATAGTTTTACCAGTAATAGTCAAAAACAGGAAACAGTAACAGTCAAAAACAGAAAACAACTCAACTGTTTATTAACAGGTGAGTGAAAAAACAAAATGTGATACATTTATGGAATAGAATATTACTTATCATTCAAAGGAACTGCTGATATATGCAACATTGTGAATGAATCACAAAATCATAATGCTGAATGAAAAAAGCTAGACACAAATAAAAAACACACAAAAGTAATTTACAGTGACTCCTGTCTATGT
Source organism: Homo sapiens (assembly GCF_000001405.40). Classification (NCBI taxonomy): domain Eukaryota; kingdom Metazoa; phylum Chordata; class Mammalia; order Primates; family Hominidae; genus Homo; species Homo sapiens. Next base: position 158,248,258 of record NC_000003.12, on the reverse strand, counting down.
ACAGTGGTACTAGGCCTTTAGAAAACTATTTTGCAGTTTCTTAAAAAGTTAACCTAGGCTAGGCAGGCACATTAGTGGTTGCCTGAAGCTGGGGTATAGGGCAAGATGGACTACAGAGGGAGCAAGAGAAAATGCCTGTGAAGGAGGGTGCCAAGATGGCTGATTAGAAGCAACTGTGCTCCTAAGCACTCTCGAAGAGGAATGAAAGGGGCCAGTGGATATAGCACCTTCAACTGAAATATCCAGATAGTCGCATTGGGTGGTAGGTGTGTGGTCTTATTTCTGGGTTCTCTATTCTCTTCCATTGGTCTATGTGTCTGTTTGTGTAACAGTACTGATTAGGAAACAACCCATGAAAACTGAAGAAAAGCAGGGTGGGGCGATGGCCAACCTGAGAGTGACATAGAGCTAAGGGAACATCTACTCACAGCCAAGGGAAGTGGTGCATTCAGGATGGCAATAGGTCAGTGCCGCCCTAGGATGGAGGGTCTAGAGGAAGGGGCAGGCTGCCATCTTTGTTTTTTGCAGCCTTCACTGGTGATACCTCCAGGTACAGGAAGAACCAAAGCCAACTAGGTTCTGAAACAGATCCCCTGCAGACCACAGCAGCCCTACAGAAGAGAGGCTAGACTGTTAAAAGAAAAATAAACAAACAGAAAACACAACAACAATGAAGAAAAACCACAAAACCCCATCCAAAGGTCAGCAACCTCAAAAATCGAAGGTAGATAAGCCCACAAAGAAGAGCAAAACCCTGCAAATCAGTGCAAAACCCTGAAATCAGTGCAAAACCCTGAAAACTCAAAAAGCCAGATTGCCGTTTTCTCCAAATGACCACAGCATTTCTCCAGCAGGGGCTCAGAACTGGGCTGAGGCTAAGATGCCTGAAATAACAGAAGTAGGATTCAAAAGATGGATAATAACAAACTTTGCTGAGCTAAAGGAGCATGTTGTAATGAACGCAAAAAAGCTAAGAATCAGAATAAAACAATACAGGAGCTGACAGCCAGTTTAAAGAGGAACATAACTGACCAGTTAGAATTGAAAAACACAGTATAACCTCACAATTCAATCACAGTATTAATGGCAGAATGGACCAAGTGGAGGAAAGAAATCTCAGAGCTAGAAGACTGGCTTTCTGAATAAGGACAGGCAAACAAGAATAGAGAAAAAAGAATGAAAAGGAATGAACAATCCTCCGAGAAATACAAGATTATGTAAAGAGACTGAATCTATGAATGATTGGGGTACCTGAAAGTGAGGGAGAGAATGGAACAAGTTGGAAAACATACTTCAGGATATCATCCAGGAGACACTCCCCAACCTAGCAAGACAGGCCAACATTCAAATTCAGAAAATGCAGAGAACCCCACAGAACTTCTCCATGAGAAGATCATCCCCAAGACATAATTATCAGATTATCCAAGTTCAAAATGAAGAAAAAATGTTAAGGGCAGCCAGAGAGAAAGGCCAGTTCATCTACAAAGGGAAGCCCATGAGACTATCGGTGGACCTCTCAGCAGAAACCCTACAAGCCAGAAAAGATAGGGGGGCAACATTCAACATTCTTAAAGAAAAGAATTGCCAACCCAGAATTTCATATCCGACCAAACTAAACTTCATAAATGAGGAAGATATAAAATCCTCTTCAGACAAGCAAATGCTGAGAGAATTCATTACCACCAGACCTGCCTTGTAAGGGCTCTTGAAGGAAGCACACTACATATGGAAAGGACAAACTATTACCAGCAACAACAAAAACACACTTAAGTAACCATAAAAACAAGTCTGCAAAAAAACCAGTTAGCATCATGATGACAGGATTAAATCTACACATAACAATGCTATCCTTTTTTTTTTTATTATACTTTAAGTTTTAAGGTACATGTGCACAACGTGCAGGTTTGTTACATATGTATACATGTGCCATGTTGGTGGGCTGCACCCATTAACTCGTCATTTAACATTAGGTATATCTCCTAATGCCATCCCTCCCCCCTCCCCGCACCCCACAACAGGCCCTGGTGTGTGATGTTCCCCTTCCTGTGTCCCTGTGTTCTCATTGTTCAATTCCCACCTATGAGTGAGAGCATGCGGTGTTTGGTTTTTTGTTCTTAACGATAGTTTGCTGAGAATGATGGTTTCCAGCTTCATCCATGTCCCTACAAAGGACATGAACTCATCATTTTTTATGGCAAGTGGGCGAACAATGCTATCCTTAAATGTAAATGGTATAAATGCCCCAATGAAAGACACACAATGGCAAGATGGATACAGAATCAAGACCCATTGGTACACTGTATTTAAAAGACTCATTACAGGCTCAAAATAAAGGCATGGAGGAAAATTTACCAAGCAAATGGAAAACAGCAAAAGGCAGGAGTTGGAATCCTAGTTTCTGACAAAACAAACTTTAAACCAACAAAGATCATAAAAGACAAAGAAGAGCATTACACAATGCTCTTACATTTCAAAGACCTTCTAGATTACATAATGGTAAAGGGTTCAATTAACAAAAAGAGCTAACTATCCTACATACATATGCACCCAATGCAGGAGCACCCAGATTCATAAAGTAAGGGGTCAGAGATCTTCAAAGAGATTTAGACTCCCACACAACAATAATGGGAGACTTTAACAAGCCACTGACAATATTAGACAGATCACAGAGACAGAAAATTAACTAAGATATTCAGGACATTAACTTAGCTTTGGAATAAGTGGACCTGATAGGTATCCATAGAACTCCTTCACCCTGAAACAACAGAATATACATTCTTCTCATCACCACACAGCATTTACTCTAAAATTAACCACATATTCGGAAGTAAAACACTTCTCAGCAAACGCAAAATAACTGAAATCATAACAGTCTCTCAGACCGCAGCAAAATCAAATTAGAATTCAAGATTAAGAAATTCACTAAAAGCCATACAAGTACATGGAAGCTGGACAACCTGCTCCTAAATGACTCTTGAGTACATAACGAAATTAAGGCAGAAATCTAGAATGTCTTTGAAACTAATGAGACCAAAGATACAACATACCAGAATCTCTGGGTCACAACTAAAGCAATGTTAAGAGGGAAATTTATAGCACTAAATGCCCACATCAAAAAGCCAGAAACATCTCAAATTAATAACTAAAAGAACTAGAGGACCAAGAGAAAACAAACCCCAAAGCTAGCAGAACACAAGAAATAACCAAGATCAGAATGGAACTGAAGGAGACAGAGACAGAAAAAAAAAAAAAAACCTTTGAAAAATCTACAAATCCAGGAGCTGGTTTTTTGAAAAAATTAATAAAATAGATACAACCAACCATCAGAGAATACTATAAAGACCTTTATGCATACAAATGAGAAAATCTGGAAGAATGGATACATTCTTGAACACGTATATCGTCCAAAGATGGAACCAGTAAGAGTTTGAATCTCTGAACAGACCAATAATGAGTTCTGAAACTGCAGCACTAATAAAAAGCCTACCACTCCAAAAAAGCCCAGGATCAGATGGATTCACAGCTGAATTCTACCACAGGTAGAAAGAAGAGCTGGTACCATTCCTACTTAAACTATTATGAAAAACAGAAAAGAAGGAACTCCTCTGTTAACTCATTCTATGAGGCCAGCATCATCCTGTTACTGAAACCTGGCAGAGATATAACAAAACAAAAAGAAAACTTCAGGCCAATATCCTTGATGAACATTGATGCAAAAATGCTCAACAACATGCTGGAAAACTGAATCTAGCAGCACATCAAAAAGCTTATCCACCACGATCAAGCAGGCTTCATCCCTGGCATGCAAGGCTGGTTCAACATATGCAAAGCAGTAAATGAAATTAATCACATATGCAGAACTAAAGACAAAAACCACATGATTATCTCAATAGATGCAGAGAAGGCCTCTAATAAAATTCAACATCCCTTCATGTTGAAAAGTCTCAGTAAATTAAGTATTGAAGAAACATACTTCAAAATAATAAAAGCCATATGTGACAAACCTATTGCCAATATCAACTGAATGGGCAAAAGCTGGAAGCATTTCCTTTGAAAACTGGCACAAGACGATGCCCTCTCTCACCACTCCTATTCAACATAGTATTGGAAGTTCTGGCCAGGATTATCCGACAAGGGAAAGAAATACAGGACATTCAAATAGATAGAGAGGAACTCAAGCTATCTTTGCTTGCAGATGGTGTAATCCTATATATAAAAAAAAACCCCACTTCAAATAGCTAGAAAGGAACTCAAACTATCTTTGCTTGCAGATGACATAATCCTGTATATTAAAAAAAAAAAAAAAAACCATAGTCTCAGCCCAAAAGCTTAAGCTGATAAGAAACTTCAGCAAAGTCTCAGGATACAAAATCAATGTGCAAAAATCACTAGCATTCCTCTACGTCAATAACAGGCAAGCCAAGAGCCAAATCATGAATGAATTCCCATTCACAATTGTCACAAAAGGAATAAAATACCTAGGAATACAGCTAACAAGGGAGGTGAAGTACCTCTTGAAAGAGAACTAAGAACCAGTGCTCAAAGAAATCAGACATGACACAAACAAATGGAAAAACACTCCATGCTCATGGATAGAATCAATATTGTTAAAATGGCCATACTGCCCAAAGCAATTTATAGATTCAGTGCTATTGCTATCAAACTACCACTGACATTCATCACAGAATTAGAAAAAACTATTTTAAAACTAATATGGAAGCAAAAAAAGCTGCAATAGCCAAGGCAATCCTAAGCAAAAAGAACAAAGCTGGAGGCATCATGCTACCTGTCTTCAAATTATACTACAAGGCTACAGTAACCAAAATAGCATGGTACTGTTACAAAAACAGACACACAGACCAATGGAAGAGAAGAGAAAACCCAGAAAGACCACACACCTACCACCATCTGATCTCTGACAAACCTGACAAAAACAAGCAATGGGGAAAGGATTCCCTATTTAATAAATGGTGCTGGGAGAACTGGCTAGCCATATGCAAAAAACTGAAATGGGACCCCTTCTTTACACCATATACAAAAATCATCCCAAGGTAGATTAAAGACTTAAATGTAAAACCCGAAACTATAAAAACTTCAGAAGAAAACCTAGGTGATACCATTCAGGACATAGGCATGGGCAAAGATTTCATGACAAAGACACCAAAAACAATTGCAACAAAAGCAAAAATTGACATAGGGAATCTGATAAAACTAAAGAGCTTCTCCACGCAAAAGAAATTGTCATCAGAGTAAACAGACAACCTACAGAATGGGAGAAAATTTTTGCAATCTACCCATCTGACAAGGGTCTAATATCCGGCATCTACAAAGAACTTAAATTTACAACACAAAAACAAACAACTCCATTAAAAGTGGGCAAAGGACATGAACAGACACTTCTCAAAAGAAGATATATATGTGACCAACAAACATGAAAAAAAGCTCAACATCACAGATTATTAGAGAAATGCAAACCAAAACCACAATGAGATATCATCTCATACCAGTTAGAATAGCTTATTAAAAGGGGGGAAAAAAAAACAAAAACAGAAGCTGGCGAGGTTGTGTAGAAAAAGGAACACTTTTACAGTGTTGGTGGGAGTGTAAATTAGTATAACCATTGTGGAAGACAGTGTGGCAACTCCTGAAAGACCTAGAACCAGAAATACATTTGACTCAGCAATCACATTACTAGGTATATACCCAAAGGAATATAAATCATTATTATAAAGATACATGCACACGTGTGTTCATTACAGCATTATTCACAATAGCAAAGACATGAAATCCAACTAAATGTCCAACAATGATAGATTGGATAAAGAAAATGTGGTTGATATACACCGTGGAATACTACAGAGCCATAAAAAGGAACAAGATCATGTCCTTTGCAGGGACATGGATGGAGCTGGAAGTCATTGTCCTCAGCAAACTAACACAGGAACAAAAAACCAAATATCGCATGTTCTCACTTATAAGTGGGAGCTGAATGATGAGAATACATGGACACATGGTGGGAAACAACACAAACTGGGGCCTGGTAGAGGATGGGAGGTGGCAGGAGAAACAGCATCAGGAAGAACAGCCAATGGATGCTGGGCCTAATACCTAAGTGATGAGATGATCTGTGCAGCTAATCACCATGGCACACACTTAACTATGTAATGAAGCTGCACATTCCGCATATGTACCCCTAAACTAAAAAAAAAAAAAAAAAAAAAAAAAAGGTTGGAAATTAAGAAAAACAAAGAATGAAAATGTCTGTGAATGATAGAAACATTCATATCATGTGATGGTAATTTTAAGAGTATATACTTCCATAAAAATTCACTAAATTGTATATTTTAAATGGGTGTATTTTATTACATATAAACTACACATCAGAAATGTTTTTATATAGGTAAAATTAGCATGATATGCTTAAATTCAAGGGGAAATTTTTGAATCATGGTTTTAAGATACAGACTTTCAAGATACTTTTTAAAAAGAGGGATTAAACTAAACTATGAGCCATCTTCAGTGATTTACCTAGAAGAGTCGATACTACTGCAGCCTTTTCATTCATCATAAACTACTAAATCTTTTATTGCAAATGATACAGCATGTTTAACATTAGTTTACATAACTGCTTTGCTTATTCTCTGGGTTTTCACTTAACCCGGCTGATTTTTTATTAGTCCACTAGCATTTTAAGCTCTGCAGGATTTTAGAAAAAAAAAATAGTCTACACTTGGTGTTTCTCAATAAGGCACTATGGACACTTTTTTAAAAAAAATATTTTTATAATATATATATATATTTTTGAGACAGTCTTGCTCTGTCCCCAGCCAGAGTGCTACTGGAGTGCAGTAGCATAATCTCAGCTCACTGCAGCTTCTGCCTCCTGGGTTCAAGCAATTCTCATCCCTCAGCCTCCTGAGTAGCTGGAACTACAGGTGCGCGCTACCATGTCCAGCTTTTTTTTTGTATTTTTAGTAGAGCTGGGGTTTTGCCACATTGGCCAGGCTGGTCGCGAACTCCTGGTCTCAAGTGATCCACCCACCTTGGCTTCCCAAAGTGCTGGGATTACCGGCGTGAGCCACCGTGCCCAGCCACTGCTGGCATTTTTAATGGCAGAATTTCTTTGTTGTAATAAATAGGGTGTTCTATACCATGGATAGTATCAAACCCTACATATTACTATGTCTTTTCCTATACATACATACATATACATACTTTATGATAAAGTTTAGTTTATACATTAGGTAGCATAAGAGATTAATGACAATAACTAATAAGAAAATAGAACAATTATAATAATATGCTGTAATAAAAGTTATAAAAATGTGATTTTTCTCACTCTCAAAATATTTTATTTTATTGTATTGTATATTGTATTCACCCTTCTTGTGATCTGTCAATCTGATAAGTAAGATTGCTACTAACTAACAGGCTGGTAGCACATACAGCATGAATATGTTGATTCACAGAGAATGAAAGTGAGACAGTGAAGATTTTCATCAAAATTCTCAGAACAGCATGCCACTTAAAATTTATAACTTGTTATTTACTGAAAATTTTCACTTAATATTTTCAGACCACTGTTGACCATGGGTAACTGAAATCCTGGAAAGCAAAACCACAGATAAGGAGAAGACTACTATACTAAATCTGGGGAAAGAGAGAACAGGAAAGAAAAATTACGCGTAAATCTCACCCAGGAAGATTGTTAAAAATCATTAAGTAAATAAACCAAATCCAGCAATGTATTCAAAAAGATTATACATCATGAATAAGCCAGGTTTATCTCAATAATGTCAGGACAGATTAATAACAGAAAATCTATTAATATTATTTACCCCATTCCTGGGTTTAAAAACTACAAAAATTTCAATTGATATAGAAAAAAATCTTTGATAAATATGAAATATGTAAATTTTCTAAAAAATCCTTCCCCAACTAAGAATTGAAGAAAACTTTATTAGTAGGAAAGGTTAACTACCAAAAACCAAGAACAAAATTATATTCAATGATAAAATATTAGCAGAATTCCCATTCAAATCCAAAACATGACAAAGATATGAGTGATAAAAAATAATAACTGTAATAGGCAGACAGGCAACAATTCAACAAAATACATTCAAGATATTTATAGAAAAAAGTTGGTTTTTATAAAGATATTTTAAAACTCATAAATAAATGAAGACTATAGTATGCCTATGGATGGTAAAGACAAATATATTACAGGAATCAGTTCCCACCAAACAAATCTACAGATACGATGTAATTCCAATCAAAGTACAAACAAGTTGTTTTTTTGGAACTTGAAAAGCTAATTCAAGCTTTTTAGAAAAAAGCACAAGCACTAAACATTCAAATGGTAAAACTTCTATTCATCTAAAAATTTCTATTATTCTTTCTTTTATTGTTAAGAAAATAAATAGGCAAGCCACAAACTGGGAGAAAACATTCACAACACATATCTGACCAAAGAATTAAACCCAGAATATAGAAGAAATTCCAGTACCCTATAATGAAAAGGTGAACCATTTTTTTTTAATACTTTAAGTTCTAGGGTACATGTGCACAATATGCAGGTTTGTTACACAGGCATACATGTGCCATGTTGGTTTGCTGTACCCATTAACTCATCATTTACAATGGGTATTTCTCCTAATGCTATCCCTCCCCCAGCCCCCCACCCCATGACAGGCCCCGGTGTGTGATGTTCCCCACTCTGTGTCCAAGTGTTCTCATTGCACAGTATTCCATGGTGTATATGTGCCACATTTTCTTAATCCAGTCTATTTCTGATGGACATTTGGGTTGGTTCCAAGTCTTTGCTATTGTGAATAGTGCTGCAATAAACGTGTGCATGGGTCTTTATAGTAGCATGATTTATAATCCTTTGGGTATACACCCAGTAATGGAATTGCGGTGTCAAATGGCATTTCTAGTTCTAGATCCTTGAGTAATTGACACACTGTCTTACACAATGGTTGAACTAATTTACACTCCCACCTACAGTGTAAAAGCATTCTATTTCTCCACATCCTCTCTAGCACCTGTTGTTTCCTGACTTTTTAATGATTGCCATTCTAACTGGGGTAAGATGGTATCTCATTGCGGTTTTGATTTGCATTTCTCTGATGACCAGTGATGATGAGCATTTTTTCATGTGTCTGTTGGCTGTATAAATGTCTTATTTTGAGAAGTGTCTGTTCATATCCTTTGCCCACTTTTTGATGGTTTTTTTTTCTTGTAAATTTGTTTATGTGCTTTGTAGATTCTGGATATTAGCCTTTTGTCAGACGAGTAGATTGCAAAAAATTTCTCCCATTCTGTAGGTTGCCTGTAGACTCTGATGGTAGTTTCTTTTGCTGTGCAGAAGTTCTTTAGTTTAATTAGACCCCATTTGTCTATTTCCGCTTTTGTTGCCACTGCTTTTGGTGTTTTAGTCATGAAGTCCTTGCCCATGCCTATGTCCTGGATGGTATTCCCTCTGTTTTTTTCTAGGGTTTTCATAGTTTCAGGTCTAACATTTAAGGCTTCAATCCATCTTGAATTAATTTTTGTATAAGGTGTAAGGAAGGGAACCAGTTTCAGCTTTCTACATATGGCTAGCCAGTTTTCCAAGCACCATTTATTAAACAGGGAATCCTTTCCCCATTTCTTGTTTTTGTCAGGTTTGTCAAAGATCAGATCGTTGTAAATATGTGGTGTTATTTCTGTGGCCTCTGTTCTGCTCCATTGGTCTATATCTCTGTTTTGGTACCAGTACCATGCTGTTTTGGTTACTGTAGCCTTGTAGTATAGTTTGAAGTCAGGTAGCATGATGCCTCCAGCTTTGTTCTTTTGGCTTAGGATTGACTTGGAGATGCGGGTTCTTTTTTGGTTCCATATGAACTTTAAAGTAGTTTTTTCCAATTCTGTGAAGAAAGTCATTGGTAGCTTGATGGGGATGGCACAGAATCTATAAATTACCTTGGGCAGTGTGGCCATTTTCACGATATTGATTCTTCTATCCATGAGCATGGAATGTTCTTTCATTTGTTTGTGTCCTCTTTTATTTCGTTGAGCAGTGGTTTGTAGTTCTCCTTGAAGAGGTCCTTCACATCCCTTGTAAGTTGGATTCCTGGGTATTTTACTCTCTTTGCAGCAATTGTGAATGGGAGTTCACTCATGATTTTGCTCTCTGTTTGTCTGTTATTGGTGTATAGGAATGCTTGTGATTTTTGCACATTGATTTTGTATCCTGAGACTTTGCTGAAGTTACTTATCAGCTTAAGGAGATTTTAGGCTGATGAAACGTATCTCAAAATAATAGGAGCTATTTATGACAAACCCACAGCCAATATCATACTGAATGAGCAAAAACTGGAAGCCTTTGAAAACTGGCACAAGACAGCAATGCCCTCTCTCACGACTCCTATTCAACATAGTGTTGGAAGTTCTGGCCAGGGCAATCAGGCAAGAGAAAGAAATAAAGGGTATTCAATTAGGAAAAGGGGAAGTCAAATTGTCCCTGTCTGCAGATGACATGACTGTATATTTAGAAAACCCCATTGACTCAGCCCAAAATCTCCTTAAGCTGATATGGTGAACCATTTTTTTAAGTGGACAAAAGGCTTGAACAATTATTATACAAGGGAAAATATATAAATGGCCAATGAGCACATTGAAAACTATTTAACATCATTAGTTGTCAGAAAAGTGCAAACTAAACATCAAAATACCACTTCAAATCCATTAGAATAGTTGGAATTCAAAGGACTGACAACACCAAATGTTGGTGAAGATGTGCAACACCTGAAACTTTTTGCTGGAACATGCATTGCTTATGGGAATATAAACTACAACAACTGTAGAAAAACATTTAGCAATGAAACATACCTTTACTATCAAACCCACCCATTCCACTGCTAGGTATTTACTCAAAAATAATGAAAACATATGTCCTTCCAGAGACATGTATGTAAGTGTTCAAAGCTGCTTTATTCTCATTAGCCAAAAACTGACTGTTAGGTGTTTACTCATGAGATATTAAACACATCTCTCCGCAAAGACTTGTATAAGACAGTCCATGGTAGCATTTGTCATAATAGCCTCAAAGTAAAAATAATTGAAATATCCTTTGTCAAAGCTGATCATAAGATTTAGGTCATTCTTGTCATACATAACTGAAAGAGAGTCAAGAAGCCAGAGGGATAAAGCGCTTGACACATAATGTTGTTTCAAGAATATAATTCTTGGTAAGCCTGAGTGTTGAAACTGCCTCCTGTAACCTAAAACCAGTTTTATCTAATGGCTTCTGAAACCTGCTGCAATTCTAAGACTAGTTTTATCCACTACCATCATTCACCAATCAGAGACTGGCAGCTCCCCGTAACTTTACTACTGCCAATGAACTTTCTGGAGAAACAATACATAACATCTCTTCTTTTTATAAAACCCCCAACCTCCTCTTTGTTGTTTGGACATATGCAAGACCACCCAGTCTGCAGGGATAGCAATTCTTTCTTTCCCAAATACAACATCTCTACATATTTTATTTGACTTTTCCCATCTTCAATAGGAGAATAAATTGTGGTTCATTCATTCAATGGAATACTACTCATCAATAAAAGGAATAAACTACCAATACATGCAACAGCATGCAACATGGATAAATCTCAAACATTATGCTGAGCAAAAAAAGCCAGATGGAAAAGCATATATACTCTATGATTCCATTTATATGAAGTTCTAGAACTAATCTATTGTAAGTGAAATCAGAGCAGTTGTTGCTTCTGGATGCTGGGGGCCAGGACTGACTGCAAAGAAAAGCACAAACAAACTTTTAAAAGAGATAAGGTGTGGGTTACACGAATGAATGTTAAAACTGACTGAATTCTATATGTAAGATCTGTGCATTTCACCACAAGTAAATTACACCTCAATAAAGACGTACCTTTATTTTAAAAATCACATAATAGCACTAAACTGGATTTTAACTCTAAATTATATAATCAAAAATAACAAATGAGAAGGGTAGACAAACTCTCTTGAACTATTACTACAATTAATTATATTAACAAATTTCACAATATTGAATTACCTTTGTATTCCTCCAATACATCACAGATAACTCTGGGTTTATTTTTCTTCTTCCTTTTTTTTTTTTGAGACAAGACTGTCACTCTGTCACCCAGGCTGGAGTGCAAGGGCACAATCTCAGCTCACTGCAACCTCCGCCTCCTGAGTTCATGGAGTTCTCATGCCTCAGCCTCCTGAGTAGCTGGGATTATAGACATACACCACCATACCCGGCTAATTTTTATATTTTTAGTAGATGCAGGGTTTCACCATGTTGGCCAGGCTGGTCTCAAACTCCTGACCTCAAGATCCACCTACCTTGGCCTCCCAAAGTGCTGGGATGATAGGCATGAGCCACCGCCCCTGGCCTGGTTTATTTTTCTAATTGCTGGATTATTTGCTAAAGTTCTATTTATACTTTTTGCATCTTGTTTATAAACTGAAAAACATTATTTTAAAAACCATTTTATACATACCATGCAACAAAGCAAATATATAACTATGTTAATGTTTGTTATTAGAAGAAATACAGACATTCACTGAAGGAGAAAAATTATATGTAAACATTTAATCTTAAGTAAAAATTCTGTAGTGTTAAGTTTCAGTTTAAAATATATATGAACTCATCATTTTGTATGACATATGCCATAGCATATGCACATTTTGTATTCTATTTGTATCCTAACATATCTGAAATAAAGATGCATCTTGCATTAGCTGGGGTCTTAAAATTAATTGGCACTGTTTTTTTCTTTCCTAGTAACACATATAACTATAATTGACCACATCTTAGATTCAGTGAAATAATATTTTTCTACTAATGTCCACTGAACTAAAGCAACGGCATCCCTTGTACTACTGGCATCATATTCTGATCTCTAAATATCATTTCTGACCAAAAGTAATCAGGGTTATTTGCATAAGTGGCTGATTCCAGACTCTAGGACAAACAATGTTCAACCTGAGACTGGGACAGAATGTAAAAAATCATTTTTAAACTAATGAGTTCATTAGTTTAAAAACTAAATAAAAACAACTCTATGCATCATAGTGACACTCAGAATGGAAAAAACAAAACTCAAAAGAAAAATCGCTCACTACTACTGGGTGGTGGCTATTATATTATGTTTGATTTAAACATAATTCCCCCAACATCACCATGAATTTCCATCTGTGTAACCCTGCTGTTCTTAAGCAGTCGGCAGTTACCTCATGCTCTGGGCTATATTCACCTTGCATGTATGGAAACTGTGATTGGCTATATTGGTTCTATAACAGAGGTTTCATTAAAAAGTATTCAATGTCTACAGAGACTGAATATACATATCAAAATATAGGCCATCCATGCATAGGAACTTACAGTTAAATGGACTCACGACTAACTAGGACATTTAAGAAAGAGTGATTAAAGATTTGTACAATAAAAAATCTTCGTTTGTTTCTATTTGTCACCATGATTATTTCAGTTCGAAGAATATATACAAAGACCAAAATATTTAAGTGAAGAAAAGAGGAACAGGGAGAAGAGGATTGGGGAGGGCAACAGAAAGACAGAAGAGACAAATGTCAGCCTCTGCCTATAAGTTATATATCCTTTTTAAAAAAAATATGAGGAAGAACAACAAAAACTATACTAAGACCAATAATTTCCTATATAAGTTCCAATAAAGTCTCATTCATTTCAATGATATCATTAAACCATCACTAATATCAATTACCTTTTTTGTAACATCTAACCATCAAAACATGAATCATCAAATGACTAAAGAAGTTCTAAATAATGTTTTTTATATATCTTCAGTTAGAGACCTAAAATATCACTACAAAATTTACATAATCATTGCTATCACAAGGTGGAAGCTAAACTTCAGTTTCTGATTATCAGTTTAACCTTTAAATCTCCCGATTAAACTCTGTCTTCATTACTAAAACCCCAAATTATCAAACAAGCCACAATATAATATATGCTATAGCACAGGTCTTCTTGTGAATAGCTGGGATCTTCAACTGCTTCAGCTGCAATACAAGCCATTGAGACTTGGCTGATACAAACCAATTTGAATAATCAATATGACAACCTTATTTTTCTAATGCAAACAGGATTGCTACAGTAAGGTGTCTCACTGTCACATCACAGTCATGGCCTCTTTTAACCCCTAATTAGATTGAGGCGATTATCCCTGCTCTTCCTTACAAGTGTACAGCTTGGATAAGGGATGACAAAAGCTATCTGCCACTTATTCAGCCTTTGCAGACAGCAGGTTATCCAGGGAGATAGAGAATAAGATCAACAAACAATTGTTATTCATATCATCATCTAAAGTGTTAAGATAGTCACAGTTTCCATACATGGAGAATGAATATAGCCCAGAGCATGAGGTAACTGCAGACTGCTTAAGAACATCAGGGTTACACAGATGGAAATTCATGGTGATGTTGGGGAATTATGTCTAAATCAAACTCATTTGCATAAAAAGAAATGATCAGGGGTTGTCTTTTGTATATAATATATCAAGATTTCATTATGTTTCTCTTCATGAATTCTTTGAAGCAAATTTGAATATTGATTTCTCTAAAACACATAGCATTTATCATGAAAAGAATGCCAAAATTAATGCTTTGCAGAAGCTTAAATGCTTTAAGATCGAATTAAAACACTCTAAATACAAAACAGGAAACTTCTTTTCACTTTGATACTACACAAGTGCTTGTATTAAACTTAGATAATCATGAGTTATTTCATTAACTCAGATTCCTAATGTTTTTCTTAACTCTCATAACAATCAGTTTCTCCAGTTTTGATCATCACTTCAGACCTGCTGTTAACAAGACAATTGCAATCACTAGAAAATATCTAAGAGTAACCACAAAGACACCAAACTGATAGCTTCCTACTAAGTTTAACTATGCTATAATAATTTCAGGAAAATATAGACGGCTTTGGCCCACTGATATAAAAACAAATAAACAAATAAAAAACCACTGGTGGTGGGAATATCTGAGTCTACTCTGAAGATGATAGTGTCAAAGAAGTAATAGGAAAATGTTGGAAAGGAATTTATGTCTTTCCCTTCTCACTTGCAACAGTCAGTTTGTGTCTTTTTTTAAGGTCACAATCACATTGCTGAAAGGAAAAGAATGAGAGGGTCACAATTTACTGGATTCCATTTCTGTTTTTTAATTATTCATTCAGTAACTCAATCAACATTGTTTCCTTTAGTCAATTAGAAACATTCTTTTTCTAACACTGAGGACGAAGCTCAAAGCTTCATGCAACACCACTCCAAGGACAACCAAAACATTTAAAATATCTTCATGGGTAGTAAAAACATGTCATATAAGTATAAATCTGATTTTTGTAAAGAGGCATGAGTTACTGAGCCCAGCTTCTCACCTGAAGTGCTGTGATTACTTGGTTATGAGTAGATCATTTTGCCAAGCATTATCTGGTTAGATTCAGTGACTACCATTCTCTCTGAGGAGGGCAAGATTATCTAAAATTATGCCGTGCTCCCCAGACATAGGCTAAAACATGACTTCATTCTTAAAGTTCAATACTAACTTAAGATATTGAGCAGGTGTTATAATACAAGCCATAGTTCACTTCTACGTATCTCTAGAGCACTGTCCTTGGACACTGAAACCCAAGGTTCTATATACTTGTTTATAGAAAGCGTATAGTCAACAATTTCAATGTAAACATCTAATTTCAAGCAACGTGTTCACAGATGTTCTTGTGAGTATGGTGGTGACTATCCCCACCTGTCAAGTAACATGCTTTTCTTATAATTTCCCATATATTTACTTTTGTGAAAAGGAACTGATAAGAAAAAAGAATTGTCAAAAATATGGGACTACTTTTTGTTAGATACGATAAAATGTATTAAGTTTACTTAAACTAAATGTTAAGATTTGATCAGTTATAATTTTATTTCTCTAAGCCATTTATGGTTTTAAATATATATCTTTTTAAAGTAAATATAAATCACAAAAATGCACTGTAGATTTTAGACTACTATTTTAAGAATTTAGCAAAACATATGCTGGTAAAATTACATAAAGCCAAAGTACTAAACAAAAACATATAGCAAGCTGTTTTCAATTAGCTTTCTATTAATATAGAGATAAATCATCAGTGCTGAAATTCAAAACATTAAAACAGAAAAAAAGTAACAACAAGTGACATTTTAGCCTATGGGTAAAAGAATAATCTCACTCCTACTGTCTTATTTTAATAAGTCTCTATTTTTCATGCTGTTTTACTATTTTTCACTTTTCTTTGTTCTTTCATTCAGAATTTTATATTGTGCTTGAAGAGTTAGTAGTAATTCTGTATTAAAAGTACGGTAAAGTAATAGACTCTTGAATGATTTGGGAAATAACAAAGTGAAAATTAAATAGACATGTAAAACTACAGATTTTCACTTTCCCTCCAGCCCAATTTTCTAAAAAACTTCAATATAGTCAGCATGTCTCAATAATACTCTGACTCAAAAGAAATAATATATTACTGCTTGTTGCTTTGATCAAAGGCAATGCAGCATACTATAATTTTAAAAACATAAAAGTTGAGACCCAAAAATAAAAGGACCATATTAGACCTTGTCCAATCCTGGATTTCTAAAGAGCAGCATCATGGCCACAAGCGAGTTACACACGTGACCAGAGAATTAGAAAATGCTAACTTCAAATAAAAGTCATTTATTCAGGATGTGGGCCTTAGTAATTTTGAAGCCATTTTATGTAGAAATAACTACATAAAATAACTTGGTCGGGCATGGTAGCTCACACCTGTAGTCCCAGCGATATGGGAGGCAGAGGTGGGATGATCGCTTGAGTGCAGGAGTTTGAGACCAGCCTTGGCAACATGGTGAAACCCCATCTCTATTAAAAATACAAAAATTAGACGGGTGTGGTGGCACGCACCTGTAATCCCAGCTACCTAGGAGGCTGAGGCGGAAGGATGGCTTGAAGTTGGGGCTGTAGTGAGCTGAGATTGCACGACTGCATTCCAGACTGGGTGACAGAGTGAAGACTGTCTCAAAAAAAAAAAAAAAAAAAAAAAAAGCTAACGACTAGTTATTCTTCATCTCTACTACAGCCAAGAAATAGGACAACAGATTTAGGCTAACTACAGGAAAGCATTTCTATAGTGTGCTAAACACGAGAATAGGCTTCTAAAGGAGACTGGAATTTTCTTGTGTCAAGGACTTTAAAAGTATACATTCTAATCCTTCAGGAAAACTTTCTTTGAAGGCAGGAGAAAGGACGTGTGACAGTCCTTCTCATCTTAAAATACAACTCACCTTGAATCCATGTATTTATCTAATATCATGTCATGCTTTTTGTATTTATGTTTCATAATTTACAATTTATCTAAGAGGAGTATACAAATAATGAAGTATTCCAGATTTGATATGGAAGAGCGGTAATAAAAACAATGAGAGTAATCATATGAATAGGGTGCAGTACTGCAAGAGAAAAGGAATAAAATATGAAAACTCTTAAGAAAACAAAAATATTATAATTCTGTATCATAACAACTCTTTAGGTAAGTTTTAAAATATAGCATCTTCTAATAAGACAGTATGTATACAGACTATGAATAATAAACTTCCTAAAATTGCTGTAGCAGAATGATATGTTTTATTTCATTTATTCACTTAACTTCACTCTGTTGCTTCACCATATTAAACAAGACCCTGTTGTTTTGTTTTGTTTCCCAAATGAGGAAGAAGGAACATATATGGAGAAAATAAAGCACGTAATTTATTGAGGAAGAAACGTGGGCTTTAGAAATATTACCACTATAAAAATTATCTTTGCTTAGACTGCCAAATCAGATTTTAATTGGACCTTCATGAAATGATCAAAGTTAACATTGCCATTAATGGGGCAAACCAACATCCTGTGATTTCTGATATGATGTACTAAACAGGACATGATACCACTTTTTTGGTATTCCTGGCAAAAAAGAAAGAAAGAAATACACAACCTGATTCCAATCATGAAGAAACATTAGACAAACCCAAATTGAGGCACACAGTATAAAACAACCAGGCTATACCTTAAAAAATATCAAGGTAATGAAAGACAAATAAAAACTGAGATACTGCTCTATATTAAAGGAAACTTAAAAAGACATGACAACTAACTGCAGTATATGATCCTAGATCGCATCCTAGGTGAAGGGGAGCTGTGATTGATGCATCAATAGGAATATGACATTAACTGGGACCATGGACTGCTGGACTATGAACTCCGGCTTAGAAAATCATATTGTACAAATGTTAAATTTCTTAATTTTGATTATTGTACTTTAGCTATGTAAAAAATTCTTACACAGAAATATTAGGGCTAAAGAGACTGGTGCCTGCAACTTACTCTTCACTGGTTCAGACAAATATACATGTGTGTAGTCAAGAGAAACAAAGAGAATTTGATAAAGCAAATGGGGCAAAATGTAAACAATTGATGAGTCTGGATAAAGGGCATATACAAGTTCTTTATGCTCTTCTTGCAACTTCTTTGTTAATGTGAAATTGTATCAAATAAAGAGTTTCAAAAATATTTTGACTAGGCATATTAACTCCCACACAGTGCTTTCAATCACAACCAGAAACTTACCTCCTTAAAATTTGACAGCTCTAAAAAAAAAAAACAAAAAACACACACACACACAATTAAAAGGCAAGGAAAGGTTACTCTAAAAAATGTGTGTTTGTGAATATAATTATGTATATACATACACATATACGTGTGTATATGTGTATATACATACATACATACACATATACGTGTGTATGTGTATATATATACACATACATACACATATACGTGTGTATATGTGTATATATATACATACATACACATATACCTGTGTATGTTTATATACATACATACACATATACGTGTGTGTATGTTTATATACATACATACACATATACATGTATGTTTATATACATACATACACATATACGTGTATGTGTGTATACATATATACACATATATGTATGTTTACACATACACATATGTTTATATACATATATACACGTATGTATGTTTATATACACATATACACGTATGTTTATATACACATATACACGTATGTGTGTTTATACACACATATACACGTGTTTATACACACATATACACGTATGTGTGTTTATACACACATATACACGTATGTGTGTTTATACACACATATACACGTATGTGTGTTTATACACACATATACACGTATGTGTGTTTATACACACATATACACGTATGTGTGTTTATACACACATATACACGTATGTGTGTTTATATACACATTACACGTATGTGTTTATATACATATATACACGTATGTGTGTTTATATACATATATACACACGTGTGTCTATGATCATAGACATATATACACACATATATATACACACACACATATATATATACACACACACATATATAAACAACAGCCCTAGAACACTATCTACTTCATTTAGAAACCTGGAATTTATAAAATCGTTATCAGCACAAAAATAAGTTTAAAGCCTGGTAGATGTATTTTCAGTCTTAAACTGCTTTCATCTAATGATAGTTTGATAAATCACAATAGCCTCAATTTTTTTTAAGGAATTTTATCAATAATGATAGTCGAATTCAGGTATTATAATGGAAAAGTTATGATATGGGATCTAAAAAGAGGGTTTCCCCCCATTAGTTTCAGAATATAAGAATCTAAAGTTATCCAGATTCAAACTCTATGTAGTTCTCAATGGTTTACTACCTTATATAAACAAAATTATAAAGGTAATACTACCCTCTTGGGATAACTGCTCAATTAACAAATATCTAAGGACCTGCCTATTCTTTGTTAAAATGCAAGAAAAAGAGGGCCTGAAATTGCTTCACTGAAGCACCAGATTACTTATTCCCTGAGTATTCTGTCATTCTTTTACCAGGTCTGTCAGCATCCATCCCTTTCCTAATAGTTAAAGAATACCATCATTAAAGTTCCCTATGGAGATTTTATTATGTTCAGATATGACAAAGTAAATTTTCTTATCCACTAAAATAAGAAGCATCTTACTGTAATTTTTATAATTCTAATTACTTCCTTGATTCAAATCGATGAATTTAATTTTTGAATAAACTAGTTCCCCAACACATATGTTGGGGAAGTATGATAAAAAAATCTATTTAACTTAGGTGGGTGCAATCAGCAATGGTTTGCACCTCATTTTGGAGAGCACTATTCTATACAACAGGGTTTGGCAGTCTAGACCAGGAGGTGACAAACTATAGCCCTCAGGCCAAAGTGGTCCCACTGCCTATTTTTGTAAATAATGTTTCCAGCAACACAGACATGCCTATTCATCTATTGTCTATGGTTTCTTTCAAACCACAGGAACAGAGTTAAGTAGTGGTAACAGAGATTGTATGCCCACAAAGCTGAAAATATTTACTATCTGGACTTTTACAGAACAAAGTTTCTGATCCCTGGTCTAGAAAATTAATTCACATTTCTCTCCAATGCTTTCCAAATAGCCTTTCAACTTACTGAATCGTAACATATGATTCTTCTAGACTAGTGGTTTTCAAACTACCTTTGCCTGTTTGGCAGGACAGTAAAAGAGTATCAGTGTATCTACCTACCACCACCAAGGCTCTTCTTTTATTCATTTTATATCATGTGATCCTCAATAAGATTTCCTTTGCACAAAGGTTTATATAGTCAATAACAAAAATCAAGGGAGGAAGACAAAGATGGAGGAAAAGAGAGATGAAGGGAGGGAAGAGAAAAGGAGTAGGGAAGAGAGAAAGGGAAGGAACGGTAGAAAGCAAAGGAAGAAAATCGGCGGAAAGAAGCAATTTTTAAAAGCTTGAAAACCACTCGTCTAATCTTGGGGGCAGAGGGAAGAGGGCAGGACAAGGAGGTCCATATTTAGTAACTGAGTTTGTATTCAGCACTGGAGCTTGGACTAGGACACAAGTCTCTTAACACACAGTGTGTTTATATAGTATACAGCATGTATTCTGAATAGGGGCAATAACATCCCCAAGCAGTTGAAAATTGGTTAAAGGAGGAGGGATAAAGGAAACCTTAGATATTACCATGGTTTTTGTCCTCCAAAGCTAAACCAACCCAACAAAATCTTATATCTTAGTATTTAATTTTCTTACTTTCTCTTTCATTTAATTATAAATAATATTAAATTAATTTACATTTAACTTAATTTTTTCTCCTTGTGGGGCAGTACAGAAAAAAGGCCAAAAACGCTAATACATGAAAATATTTCTCAACCTTAAGTTCCCTTTACACAAAATTCTACAAGTCTTTTATTTACTAACATATACATTTCAACATCATTTTGGGTTCCAGTATGCACAAACTACAAATCAATCCTGTTATGGACAGTCTAAAAAGATGAAACTCTGGGTGGATACAGAAAAGGGAGGGAAGGTAAAAGGGCAAGAAGGAGTAGAGGTTTTTGCAATAAAAACTTGTAGAGGAAAATAAGCCTGGGACTCAGAACTGCACACCCCTAACATTTGTAAGAAAGGGGATGCTGAGTCATGTACTTTACCATGGAGTCACTGTGGACAAAAGTGCAAATAACATTATATTACACTAGACACAGGGCACACAGATTGAGAAAGACCTACTCAGCAATGTCAAACATCCACCTGTTATCTCTTGAACCAAGGTGGGAACCAATGGATATAAGCAACAGTTACATATTCAGAAAAGAAAGATGGAAAGACTCTAATGTAAAGGGATAAAAATGGCAATTTATTATGCTGATTACTAAGCTATTGCCTTAGCCATACACCTACTGTGGCCGGGACTTTCAAATGATGTTTCCCTTCTGCCAGCTAGCTAGCTCCCTATTAGGTTCTGCTAATAGAGGTTGTTAGAGGAAGAATGAATAGTAGGAGAAAGTGAAAAGGGCTTCCCTGTTTTACTTGCTGATCCTGTCAGAGTTGCCCCACCAACAACTCTTTGAAGGAAATAACTCTTTAATATTAGTTCTAATTTCTAAGAGTTTTTTTCACCTGTCCTTTCAGATCCAGACCCATTCCATTCCCTCAGAGGAACCAGCAGCAGCCAAACAGTATCCATTCCTCAAAAAAGTCTAGGGCCTAGCGCAATGGGGACCCTC
This sequence comes from Homo sapiens, assembly GCF_000001405.40. NCBI lineage: Eukaryota > Metazoa > Chordata > Mammalia > Primates > Hominidae > Homo > Homo sapiens. The sequence goes on along the minus strand of NC_000003.12, from coordinate 158,226,053 downwards.
CCACAAGCCCTTGAGGTACCAACACTAGTGAAGTAACACCTTTGCTTCATTAGAGGCCTGGGTCTCAGTTCTGCCATTCCCTAAGTTACTATGTGCTGATAATACTAACCTCTTCTCATTTCCCTAGAATGGGTACCTAATTTCTATTACTTAATATCTGTTATCTCAATGTTTTCTTTTGTACCATTCTCTAGTGTGTTTTCCACCTTCCAGGTTGGACTCTGACTGATATAATGCTATCAAGTAGTCCTTATTTTAAAGGTAATTAATGTTCTACTGAATGTAAAAATGTTTCTAAGGGCTTGTATAGGTTTACTCACAATTTGGTCTTCCTAAAACTTTTCTCTTCCTGTTAGATGTAAGTTTCTTTTTCCTCTCACAATTCTTTTGGTGAAATCTGTGAGAAAGTCCCAAATAACTCATTAATATACCTATGATGCTTCTACTTTAATCCGTCTTTATAACTTTTAATTGCCTCCAAACCAAAAGGGGTGTAAATCTTACTTTTTAACAAGACAAACAAACTCTCTGGCTCTGGGCAGCAGTAACTGAACAGGAGGCAATGAAAAGTGGGAGAGTACTTTAATCAGTCATTAAGGGGGAGCAAGTTCAACAGGGCATAGAGCAATTGGTTGAAACTTAAAATCCTGGGAAAATTCCTTGTATTTACTGATTAATACATATGTATTTAATATATACTGGTGTTAATCATAGTAGGGAGATACAAAATCTCTAAATACAAAACCCATACCTGTCTTCAATAAGATAAGAGTTACTTAGACAACTACGTAACTTAAAATATCAAAATCTCACCCTGCTAGCTATCTTGGAAAAATGTATCACTTAACCTCTGGTGGTCACACTCTACTCATCTGCAGGGAAACAGGCTAGACTAGGTCTCTCTTGCTATACATCTACCATGATGATCTGTAAAAAATATTTTTTGTACTGAGGCAGAGGAAACTCAGTATCATTGTCAAGACAGACAAAAAGACTAGTTTTCTAAAAGGAAGATGAAAATTATCAAGATTGGTACTTCAAAAACCTCATTTGAAAGAGATTTGAATATACCGTATTTCTACTATCACAATATTTATAGGCATTTACTTAGCCAGAAAGGATACTTCTTAAATTCTCTTCAAAATAGAAAATATCCTTTGTTCTTTTTCAGTTGTTAAAACAGTTTTAATATTCTTCTCTCAAAATAAATTTATCACCTGCTATACAGTAGACCATACATTTCATAGCTTGTTCATAAAAATAATTATATCTAAAATACTAGTTGAAGGTTAATACAATAGATGAGATCATTTACCATTGAAAATATCTTTCAAATGTTGTGAACAATTAGAGTTAATCCAATGTAAAGTGGAGGGGAGGGGAGGAAAAGACTCCAATTCTGATTCTTTGCTTTATACCCCACCTGCACTGCTACTTAACCTTGACATTTATACAGAGGAAATGAGAAAGCCTTTAATTCCTGGAATATGGATTTAACCATCCACTCTTTTCACAAAAGAAATTCTGTGATTTCAAAATTAAAAATAAGCCTTAGTACTCAAGTGCTACCGTTAGTACAAAAATCAAGTTGCAGAAATCTACATAGCATAATCCCATTTATATAATATATTGAACACTATTATAAACATACAGATGAAAGCAGAGAAGCACAAAATCATGCATGTAAATTCTAATTCCTAATTCTGAGGAACAGGATGGGGGAAATGTGGAGCAGAGTGGAAAAAAATTTAACTTAAAATATTCTACATTAAATTTTAAAGCGTATGCTGACGATAATTTTTAAAAATCAAAATTTTATCTTAAGAAATGAAAGTTACAGATAAAGGTGATGAAGAAACCTGAGATTTAAATCCAAGTGACATATTTAGTCATTAAATTCATTTATGTATAAATCTTACTTCAGTACCATTTATGCATCAAGCATTATTTATATGTTCTGCAGATATAGCAGTGAACAAGGACCCTTCCCTTCTGAAGTTTATATTCTGGTGGGAGTACTAACAAGATGATTACACACTGTGATAAGTACTCTGAAGGACAGAAACAGAATATAGAGTAATGGGGTAGGGACAGCTAATTTACAATCAGTGTTCAGGAAAGGTCTCTTTAAAAAGATTACACTTGAAGTAAAAACTAAATAATGAGAATGAGAACCATATACAAAGACCCTGGAGGAGGCATTCCAAACAGAGGCAACAACAATTGCAAAGGTCTAGAGAATGGAAAGAACAGTGTGGCTACAGCATCTTGAGTGGCGTGAGATAAACTGGAGTGCATGAGCCTGTGGTACTTTAATGTCCAAAATAAAAACTTCAAAAAGAAGTCACTAAAGGATTTAAGCAGAGGAGTGACATAACATGACTTACATTTTTAAGAAATCCTTCTGCACATTGTGTGGATAATGGATTATGGGGAGGACAAGATTGAAAGCAAAAAAAAAAATCAGGAAGCTAAACTATAGATCAGGTGGCAAAATGATGACGGGCTTGGTCTGTATCAGTGGAGATATCACTCCACTCAAGATACCAGTGGAGACAAAGAAGATAAATAATAATTATTAGAGTTTGAATTTAATCATTTGTTTGACACGTATGGAAATTTGTTTTCTTTTCTTCTGTAAGTACCTACATAATATCTTTGATTTTGCCTCTCAGCCTGAAAAGCCTAAAATATTTACAATCTGGCCCTTTACAGAAAAAGTTTCCTGAACCTAACCTACAGAGTCTGAAAAATGATGGAACCCCCTTACCAAGTCTAGAGATGCTTCAACATTTGCAGAGGCAAAAGACATCAGAGGAGTGGCCACTGAGATGGTATTGCAGATGATCAAGAGAGGAAGGTATTTCAAGAAAGAGGAAGACGAAGGGCATACGAGGAAGATCAAAGATGAGTAATGGACTGTGCTGAACATTGTTCAGAAAACCTACAAGATAAGAGAGAAGTGTCTACTGGATGTGGCAGAATAGAAGTCACTTGACAATGGAGGTTTCAGCGGAGTGGTAAGAACAGAAACTCAAATGTGCTGAAGAGTGAATAGGTAAGAAGTGGAATAAAGAAAATAAACGAAATTACTACTGAAATGAGGAGCAGAGAAATGGAATAGTGCTGGAGGAGATGAGAGGTCAAGTGAAAGTTAAGGGTTGTGTTTTGCTTTGTTTTTAAGATGCTGGTAGGAATTATCCAGGAGAGGAAGGAACTGATGTTGAACAGAGCACAGTTAGAAAAGGTAACGGGATTCAGAGCAAAATGATAAAAACAAAGACATTTCTTCCATTGACACAGAAAAGAATGATGCTAATTTGGGTCAGAAAAGAAGTAAATACAGCAAAGTGGTGATGGATAATAAAAAGTGGTATATTTAATGGTCAAACAATTTAAGAAGTGATACTAGAGTTACTGGTTTGGAAATATAAGGGGTGGGGGACGGAGAATGAATATATGCCATCAAGATTTGATTGGGGCATAAAGCTAATAATAATGACAAGCTTGTTAACTTGTTTAATTGACAAAAATTATATATATTTATAGTGTACAAACAAGATGTTGTGAAATATGTAAATACTGGGGGAATGACTAAACTGGGCTAATATACACACTACCTCATATACTTATTTTTGTGGTAAAAACACCTAATATCTACTCTCAGCAATTCTCAAGTGTATAATACATTGCTATTAACTATAGTCACCATGTTATACAATATGTTGCTTGGCTTGTTACCTTTTTAAGATGTGACTATAGGAGCAGATCCTTAGAAAGGATACAGGCAAAGATGGTTACATGTGAAAAAAATGGAGGCTATGTGACTGATAAGTAATATTACTAGCAAGTATCAGCATAGTCCCCCACAATTATGTGCTCCTCAGAATGTTTTGCACAATGTCCATAGTGCTCTATATGTAAATAACATTATAACTGATCGTAAACTGCCCCTCTTACTATTATTTACAATTAATCTAAATGCACACCAAAACTTATCAATCCCCTAAAAATGGCAATGGCTTTTAGAACTTTCATGGATACATTAGGTAATATAATAATACTGTCATCAGTTTTCCAAAACATTTGTACACAAGCATATCTATAACAGCCAAATACTGAAAATGTTGGAAGTATAGATAAATCAGCTTCATTATACGAATCTCTCCACATTTTTATGTTTCAATATTTCTATAATAAATACCTCTTTTAAAAAAATTAAGTATGAAGACTCTGGACTGGCAAACACAGTCCTCAGAATCTATATTTTTGATGAAAAGTAGGCTTCCCTATTTTGAAGAACTGGCAGGTTGAGCTCTGTAAAACTGCTTGAGGCAAAGCAATAAGCATAGGAAAGGCATCTACTTTATGAAATCTTTGTCCTGGAGTAGGCCCTACAAATCTTGCAAAACAAAGGAGTTCAAGTTTACTGTTCAGAAGAATACACTAAACATAAAAGATTATTAATGACTTACGAACTCCTAATGTAGCATGAATCATACCAGCAACACTAGAATATTGGTTTCAACAAGTAGACTATTTTATTTTATAAACTTCACTAGAATATTATCAACAGCAGTATTAGAAAATGGAAAGCTAATGAAATTAGGAAGCAGCATCGGCATACTGCATACCATGTTTCTCATCACTCTAATGCAGAATCTAATGGATGAGAAATCCATCTTTCAACTTAAAAAAAAAGCAGCCTATAAAGCTAGAAAAATAGACCACCATTTGACAAAGTTATTAGGGAATATTTTGCTATCTAAATTCAATAAACTGCATTAGTGGAACCAGTTTCTTTTATAAGAAAAGAGCAGCACACTTTCTTCTTGCTATTTATTATAGTTCCAAAGCCTGATTATCTTACTAGTGTTTTGTTTTCCTTTAGCAAGATCTGAAGTAGAAACCGACTAAAGATTAAAGAATTATAAATATTCTCTTTTTATAAAGATGTTTTCCTGACTCTATTATAGTCAGAGGATATTACAAATACTGAATAATATCAAATTTTCAGAAATCAATACTTTTCACCAATACTGGGTTGCCTACCTGTGAAATATGGCTTTTAATATCAAACCCTGATTTTATTTGATATCATGACCAAATATCTTTTCTGCAAAGTAAATGGTTATTAGTGATTTTTACTATGGTTCCCTAACAGCAAAGGCAGAATCCATGTTTAGGTGATTACTGTATGTTTTGATTCAGTTATCTGCAGGGTGTCTGCATGGTATTCTAACTATTTAAAGCCAGTAAAAAGATTACAGCTCACACTAACTGGATTTTCACAGCTCCCTATCATTCAGCTTGAATTCCTCATGGGCAGATTAAAAGGACCAAGGCAAACAATAGTCTTTTTAAAATACAAGGTGGTTATTAAAAGAAAGAAAGAAAGGAAGGAAGAAAAAGTATCCTTCATAGTCAAAACAGCAACAAAATTATTCAAGGAAGCAATCACATAAAAATAAACTTAAACATATGATAGAGGTAATACCCTGGGTGTTGGCATATAATCAATCTAACTCAATAAACTAATAGCACCCGAAAGAATTACAGTTTTTATTCTGAAACCTACTTCATAGAATATATGGTTTTAGGCTTTCAAGTTGGCTTTCGGTACGGCGTCAGAAGAACAAATTTGGAAAGACGTTGGCCATCATTTCATCTAACCTTCAGAGTACAGACAGATGGACTGAGGCCCAAAGGACTCAAGTGGCATTCCCAAGTCAACTATTGGCAGACTATCAAAGTAACTATGTATGAGTATTTCAAGTTCCTTTCTACTTTCACTTAACTACCTTCTCATTCCCACCTTCACTGACTTCAAAGGATCATATGACTTCCCTATCTACGATTAGCCCTTCCAGTGAGCCACGGATACAAACCCTTCCTTAATACATTATCTGTTTTAATCTTCATGCAAACATATGAAGTAGTAATGTTTATCATGGCCATTTTAGAGATAAACCAAGACTTGGAGAGATTAAGTGACTTGACTAGGATCACACAGCTAGTAAATGAAAGAGTTGGACTTAAAGGCAGGTCTACAAGACTTTAGTGTATAAGTTATTAACCACTGTGCTATACCCATTTCTCCATTAGCTTCTTTTCCTCATTTCATGAGGAAACCCCATTGATTTTCATTCTCTTCCATTGACTATTCAAACAATTCATCCAAATTCTATCCTTAGTGTCTCCACATTATCATTCAGTATTAAATAACTGGTAAGTTTCTGAACTCAAGTCAGATCAAGATCCACTTAGGTAACATTCCTTCCTTCTCAGCTGCCACTACCTTTATTAAGGCTTCATCATTACTCCCGCACATTACTTACCATAAGACTCCTAAATGGTCTCTCTCAGCCTTCAATCCATTCTCCTTAGTGTTGCTTCTCTAAGTTAAAATCCTTCAAGTCAAAAATCCTGTGGCACCTCCTCTTATATCCCTTTCTTATTTATTTATATTTCTTTTAGCCAGAATGAACTAAAGATCCCAAAAGGAAAGGGAATTTTTCAAATGTATATTTGTATTTGCCTATAATTTTATATAAAGAAACCCTAGAAGGATAACTAAAAAACTAATAAATGTAATTACATGGATTTTTAGGGAAAGAATAGGAATTGAGTGGATGGGGGAAAAGATGTAAATAAGACTCTGTACTGTATGTAAGCCCTTATATAATGTTCCATTCTGAAATATATCATCTATTCAGAAAAGGAGGAAGGAAAAAGAGGAGGAGAATGAAAGAAAGAAAACAAAAGAAAAAAAGGAAGAACCAACAATGCTTGATGTCACCTTGTTTCCAGAAGGTATTTTCTGTGTCTAACAATAAAAAGGTAATTACTCCCCAAAAAAGAGGAATAAAAATGGTTTCCTAAACATATAATAATCCCTCTCCTTTTAATCCTTCTGTTTTTCCCTTTCCTTCTCACTTCCTCTTCCATATTCTTCCAGATGGTTTAAGTGTCAACACCTCCAGAAAATCTTCCTTGACTGGCTAATTTTGGATTAAGTGTCCTTTCAATATGCTCCCCTAGTATAGTGGGCATCTTCTGTCACAGCACTCTTACTACATTGTTATCATTATTTGTGTGTCTGGCTTCCAAACTACATGGAAGTTTCTTGAGATCAAAGACCGTGTCTTATTCATCTTTGCAATCTCCAGTAACTACAATAGTGCCAGACACATTTTAACAGCATCCAAAGTAATCCATGGCACAATGCATTTATCTTTGTTGTGGCCCATGGGTCACATCCAGCAGTCACTGTGATTTAATCTTGCCATATGGAAGATATTGCTTGGGTTACTGCAGCCTCCCCTTTATAGGTTTCTGTAGTCATCAAGGTCCAAGTAAAATACCTAAAGAGTTAAGAATAAAACGGAATTGAAAACCTGAGACCATGTTAAAACTCTCCTGAGTTCTGCACCTACAATATATCCTCCTGACTACTTTCATTCTCCTCTTGAAAGTCCCAAAAGATCCTCAAACTCAGTATGTCCAAAGCAAATGTATGATACCCTGCCATCTTCCAATGTAATCCTTGCTCAGTAAAAAGTCTCACCATTGTTCCAATGATATAAATCAGAAAACTAATGGTTATCCTTAACATCTGCATCTCATTTACCAAATCAAACCTATCATTAAATACATAAATATGTCTCAAATTCAGCAACTTCTTTCCATCTCCAATGCCAAATCCCTGGCCCAAGCTACTATTACATCTCTCCTAGATTACTGTGCTACTTATCTGGTTTCTCCGCATCCACTCTTACTTATCCCTCTGCAATCTGTTTTCCACACTGCAGCTGGAGTGATCTTTTCAAAACACTAATCTGATCATGTCACCCATCAGATTAAACCACTTCAAAGGCATCCTGCTACCCTTAAGATAGAGACCAAAATCCTTAACCAGGTTTACAAGGCCCTGCATAGTCTAGCCCCTATCTGTTTCTCCGGCCCCATCTCAGACAGTGCTTCCCCTCCTCTCCATTCTAGCTTCTGTGATCATCTTTCAGTCCCTGTTCGTATCAGTGTCCCTCCATTCTAGAGGCCTTTGTTGATGATGTTTCCTCTCTCTGTAATTTTCTTCTCCCTGCTCCTTCCCTCACTAACTCCTACTCATCCTATTTCTTCAGGAAAGTTTGCCCCAACTATTCTAGGTCAAATACATCTCCGTCCCCACCATTATATTCTGCTCAAAGCACTACACATGTCTTATGCTTGGCTTTTTATTACTACTAAAAATGATATTTATGTGATTTCATATTTACAATTCCCCCCCCACACACACACACACTGGACCATAATTTCCATAATGTTAGGCACTATAACTATTATCCATCACCATGGAATGAATCTCCAAGACACAACCCAGTGCCTGGCATTTGATGAATAAATGACAAAATGGAGGGAGGGCATCAGCTAGGTGGTAATACCTAGGCTATCATCAGTTATCACTGTTCCTGCATGTGGGAAAGGTAGAGAATCCTCAGGATAATTAATTTAATGTGAGGAACCTAACATCATAATTTAGAATTATACTAAAATGCTTTCCTCTTCAATCCCAGAATATTGTACTCCTCCTCAATGAAGACTGGTGAGCAAATTTTCTACCACAAAAAAGGACTTGAGAGACCGTTTACTCCATGCCTCACATTTTATAAAGAATATAAAACTCAGAGATGTTAAGTGACCAGCCCAGTCACATGCAAGTGAGCAGAAGAGCCAACGCTAGAACCCACACATACCAGTCTAATGTTGTTTCTACTACATCTACTACAGTAACATATCACGGACTCTTTGGAGAAGAGGATTCTCATATTCTCAAAGAGTCATATCATGGACTCTTTGGAGAAGAGCAGTACTCGTTACTAATTTATATTCTAGCAACCCTGAAGGTACATACAACTTTGATCACATCTTTTAATTCTCCTCTTGGTGGGGAGCACTCATGAGATTAGTTTTGAATATATTGAACTTCAGATTCTAGACATGTCCAACAGGCAACTGTATAGATATAGCTGAAGTTCTAAGAATAGTTCTGGCCTACTTAAGACTTGGAAAATGGATTCAAGGACAGGAAGACTGTAAGCCAGATGCTAGTCTTTAGTGAAAAAGGAGCACTGCCTAACACATATTATGACAGCAAAATGAAGGGAAAGATAGTTTCATGGTGAATAGCATGAGCATCAGAGGAACAGGTTTTAATTTACTTAGTTCAAAATAAAGAGCAGACGAACAACGGTTTGGAAGGAAGAAGGGAAAGTAAGAAGGATAACAAATTCACCTCTGGACGCTCAGGTATGTGGGAGATAATAAAATAGGATGGAAATTCCCATTCTAGTAATGGTAGATTCGATAATTTGAATCAACCCTTTTTCTAAAGAACTATTACAATGGCTGGAAATTTTTTTAAACAATTTTTTGTTTGTTTGATGGCCTGTAAGAGTTAGCAATTTAACTGCTGAAACTAGATTAATATTATCCCGGATTACTCTCAGAGGCAACAGAAATGAATCCATTGAGACTACACATCAAAGTCATAGACTACAAAATAACTAAACCTAGTAGCTGAAAGAAGATAAACATAAAATTGAGAACTGGTGAAGAGGAAACCATAAAAAGAATACAAAAAATTAGAACTTCAAAAATATAATAAGGAAAATATAAAATATATTACAGAAAATTAAGAACTCAACAGATACACTTAGCAGATTAGACATAATAGATTTTTTTTAAAAAAAGAGAAAGTGAACTTAAGCTAATCATAAAAAAACAAAAACTGCCACATCATAGTAAAACTGCTAAAAACCAGAAACCCAGAACTTCTAAAACAAAATTGAGAAAGTCAGGGGAAAATAAAATTATGCCTTTATATTATGGAACTATTAAAAGTGATGGCAAAATCGCAATTACTTCTGCACCAACCTAATAAAATATATGTCTACTTATAATTCATTGCTCACTGAATTTCTAATAAAGGAGAAATACAGATATTTTCACACAAAATTTTAAAACCTGAGAATTTACAAAAATAATAAGGGATGCTCTTCAGGATAAAGAAAAATTATCTCAAGCAGAAGCTCAAAGATGAAAAATAATTAAAAGTAACAAAAATGGTAAGCATTTGCAAAACTTAAAATTAACCCTACAACACAAGAGAATGGTAAAATATCTGAGTAAAAGTAAAACATAATCTCCTCATCCTAAAATATCTTTGCCAGTTTAAAGCAAAAACTATAAACTTTGCCTCATGAGGTTTTCAGAATTAAGGATTAAAGGCTAGTTACATTTCCACATTCCAACTGAAGCAATAAAACACAGATTCTAAGTAGACTGTGAAGAATTAAGTACGTGTATTATAATTCCTAGGGCAACCACTAAAAAAATCTATATACAGAAATGTACTCAAAAATACAACAGAGAAATTAAAATGAGGTAATAAAAAATGTCCAAACAACCCATAAAAATATAGGAAAGGGAAATCAGAAATAAAACAGAGGAAATAAACAGAAAATTAATGACAGAAGGGAAGACCTAAATCCAAACATATCCATAATTATATTAAAGTGAGTCATGTAAACACACCAATTAAAAGACTAACTCTCAGAATGGATTTTTAAAATGAATACAAGGCCAGATGCTTTGGGAGGCCAAGGCAGGAGGACTTCTAGAGGCCAGGATTTTGAGACCAGCCTGGGCAACACAGCAAAACCTGTCTCTACATTTACCCAAAAAAAAAAAAAAAAACTATCTATATGCAAGAAACTCATCTCAAATATAATGATGTAAGCATGTTAAAAAGTAAATGATGGAAGATGGAAAAAGATATACCAGGCCAACACCAATCAAAAGACATCAAGAATAGCTATATTAATATCATACAATGTGTATTTTGTAGCAATAAAACTATGAAGAACAAAGATGAAAGCACCAAATCACCAAGAAGACAACAATCTTAAACATACACCAAATAAAACCAAACAAAAGCGCTAAAAAATACACAAAGCAAAATCTGACGTAACAAAATACAGAATTATAGTTAGAGACTTCAACACTTCTCTTTAGTAATCAACAACTAGTAGATGGAAATAAGCCAAGAGATAGAAAATTCCCATCAACCAACTGGATTTAATTGCTATTTATACAACAGATGACCTAACAACAGCAAAATACACATGGAACATTCACCAAGACAGACCATATCCTAATTCATAAAAATAACCTTAACTAATTTATAAGAGCTACAATCATACAAAGTATGTTTTTTGGTCATAATGAAATGAAGCTAGAATCAGTAAAAGAAAGATATAGGGAAATCTCCAAACACTTGAAATCATATATTTCATATCTAAATAATCCATGAATCAAAGAGGAAATCACAAGGAAAATTAGAAAATATTGAGAACTGAGAAGATATAAAAACACAACATATGAGAATTTGTGGGATGTAGCTCAAGCAGTGCTTAGAAAGACATTTATATCACTAAACACTTGTATTAGAAAAGAAAAAAGATCACAAATCAATAATCTAAGGTCCTACCTTAAGGAACTAGAAAAACATGTACAAATAAACTCAAAGAAGGAGAAAAAAAATAATAAAGAACAGAAATCAATAAAATTGAACAAAGAAAAACATTGACAAAAGATATCAATGAACCCCAAAAAATCCTCTAGCAATACTTACTCAAAAAATCAGGATATGAAAGGAAGTTATCACTACAGGTCACACAAAAATTTTAAAAAGATACTAAGGGAATACTATGAACAACTCTATGAATATAAACTCAACAACTAAGATGGAATAAGCCAATTCTTTGATAACCGAAAACTACTAAAACTCACCCAATATGAATACCAAAATCCAAGGATGCTCAAGTCCCTTACACAAAATAGCACAGTAACACATCCTCCTGTATACTTTAGATCATCTCTAGATTAATTATACCTAATATAATGTAAATGCTATGTAAATAGTTATACTGTACTTTTTGTATAATTTTTTATTGTTGTATTGTTATTTTTATTGTTTTTTCCCACAAACATTTCTGATCTGTGGTTGGTTGAATCCATGGATGTGGAACCTGCGGGTATGGAAGGCTGACTACACTAAAGCTGTCTTTGCCTAGAGAGCTTTGAATAATGAAAACATTTTTCTTCTACTACTGCCTTTTACAATTTTTAAGTGTACTTAATTTCTAAGTAGTTATGAATTTCACATCTGGCTTATTCCAAATACACATTATTTTTCAAAATCTGATATCTACCCATTTCTTTTTCTAATGTAGAATGCCCTCCTTTATCTTTCTCAAGAAAAAGAAGCTAAGGCTGCAACATGACAACCAAATTGATTTTCATGATCTATTTCCAGGTGGCCTGTCACAGGCTGGCATATCCACAGGGGCCAAAGACTGCAATTTCAAAACCTCCTGCAGGAGTTCAGAGAGAATTAAAACAGCAGTACTCATTGTTGTATTTCCCTAACTGCACTTGCTATGTTAGTGATCATCACATATGTAATAGCATTAAAAAGTGCTTTGGGTTTATACCCACAAGGTTCATTCTCTGAGATTTATCCTTATCTTCCTGTAGTTATATGCAATCTCGGAACCCAAGGATCATATCTTTATCACTAAATGAAAAGCATTAACCCCAATGATACCATTTGGAGATTTTCTTTTATTATATACTTTCATTGCCTTGAAATCTAAGATATGTTGACGACATTTACACAAATGGAATGCATTACAACTTACTCTGCTTTAGTAGAAAAGTACACCCCATAACTACATCTATCCAAAGAGACATATGTTATTCCTATCATCTGGCTATACTCATTTTATACTAGGATATTAAGAATATTTAAACCAGGCACTTTAAAACTGTCCTATAATATCACATTAGGATATAAAAATAAACCAACATAGAGATATCTGTTTCTTCAATCTTTGCCATTTAATCAAAGGAGGATAAATTTCTGATTCTATACTTGTGCTGACCAAGATTTATCTAACATGTCAATCAAGCATTATGGTTTATTCCAATCTGTTCCATTTTGGAGATGCCACTCCAATGATCACTAGACTGGGGAGAAAGCCTGTGAGAACAGAATAAACTCGAATTTTAAAAAAATACACAGCAGACTGCTTCTATTTGGTTTAGCATCATTCATATCAGGGATACTCAAGATGCTTTACAATGAGATATAAATTAGAACTGTAATGAGTGATTATAAGCAACAGCTTAGCATTTAGGGGACCTACTTGTTTACTTAGGAAGAAAAGACTTGACTGGCACTCCAAGTTTATTCCCTTTACGTTCCTCTAACAGTAGTGCAGACTCTCTAGCTTACAAAGCCATTCATAACCTTACTAAAGGCAAACACTAAGGCCTTCAGTTAAAGATCTCAATGAAATAGTGTGTTTAAGTCTGGTAGTCTGCCCTGTAACCATATACAAAATCAACAGAATAGGTGATATCAATTAAGTTCCTGAAATAAATTAGACTAGGCATGAAAAGTGATCAATCAGGACTGGAATTTTAATTGGTATTTAAAATATGAATCCTAGCAGTGACATTCAATTTTTTAAACAACTGATGCTAAATGATACTAACTGTAGCATGATTGATAACATTTAAAATACAGAAAAAAGTGAAAGTTACATAGGATTTTTTTTTAATGCAGTCTGGAGACTTGGATGGAAGTAGTGTATGTATGTGAATGCACACGCACACTTGAACCAGAAATGGGGTAGTACAAAAAAGTTGCTTAAAAAAAATGCAATGTTATCACTTTTACATGTTTCTAAGCTGGATTTAATTACCTAAAATCAACTTCAAAATAAACATGTATTATTCATTCTACAAATATTTGAGTACTTACTATAATCCAAGTAAATACAATGTTAACTAAGACAGACAAGGTAATTTGTAATCGTAACATTACAAAACTCTGTTCAGATTAGGTACAAATACAATGGGAATTAACTGCAAGGGTACTCAGCACACTCTTGAGGAGTTAGGAATACTTTACAAAATAAATGAAATTTAAAATGAACCCAAAAAGATGAATAGCAACTGGCAAGAAAAGTAGAGAAGAAAGTATTTCAGACTGAAGGAACAACCTTTAAAAAGACACAAAAGTGAGAAAAAAGAATGATAGTTGAGAAACTGGTAATCACAAAACCAATAGTTAAAACTGTTTTATCAATAAAAAATAAAATGATGACCATTTATTGAGCTGCTACTACATAGTACTAGTCTTCTGACACACACTGCTTCTAATAGTTAACATCTTCTCTATTACCATTATCTCCATCTTATGGAATAATAAATTTAAAGTTCAAAAAAGTTACTTGCCTTCTCACAGGAAAAAAACTGTAAATGACTTGAGATGATCAAAAAAGACTACCGGGTATATTGTCTAGGGCACCTTTCCTTATCTGAGGTATTTTTAGACTCCATAGATTATAGATAATTGATAGCAATGCAAATAATTCTTTTCTATAAACAGGCAAATGAATTTTGTCCAGTGGAGGTGTAATTGATTTCCTTCCCCTATGTGGAAGAAGCTAGTTTTGAATCTATTACGTTATTCATGGCTAGATTTTTGGTAGCCTACGTTTGTGTCTACTCCTGATCCTTTGAGCTACTTGTAACGTCTCACTTATTTTCTCATTAATTAGGTAAGTAATATCTTTGGCAAGTGTTCATGTATATTTGTATGAGGCATGGTTTTGCCGTTTTAAAAACAATCATCCCTCAGTAGCTCCAAAGCATAATGAGTCAGAATTTGAAGGTTTCTGTGCATTCCATACCGGTCCAAAGACAAGGGTCTTCCATTACACTACAACTCAGTACTCTTTCCCTTTTATTCCTGAATGTTAATGCTAACATAATTTTTGTAATACCTCTTGCAAAGGGTCCACTAAATTTTTTATAGACCATGTAATGAAACTTACTAAAAAGTCCAGCATGAGGCTACTCCCATCCTCTAACTTCTTCACATATCCCTAATTCCTCAGCCTCCTGTGGAATGAAAAAGGAAATTTAAAGTACCTTCTCTCATTCTAAAGCTTTCACAGTCGAGCAATCACCAAAAAAGAGAATGAACCTACAATTCATGCCATTTAAGACGTTATCAGGCATAATTCAAGTCAAATCCCATTGGGCACACTGTGTGATAATTTAAATGTACTGATATAATGTATAAAAGAAAGGTGGTTACCTTGGAGTACTGAGGAAATCCTTGTCTCCTGCTTTTGCTGAATGTTTTTTGTTATATTATGTTCCCTTTCTTGACCTCATCTTTTCTAAAAAATTAGATTATTTTGGTTAAATCAGAACTAATACCAAATATTCAAACCCACAGAATAGAAATTGGGTGGTAAATTTTGCTGTAATATAAAATGGCCAACAACACAATGGGCCACTATGTTATAATATTCATTTGGTTTATGAGGAAACTGTAAAAACTTTAATTTAAAAAGATTCCAGTGCACACATGTATATAAAGATGTATTTGTTTACCTGCTTAACAAAATTGACGGTATGAAGCTTTTTTTTTTTTTTTTGCATGCTATAATGACATGTGTTAAAGGTATACTTTCGATATACTGCTTTCGAACCAAACATTTACCCTTCGCCACTGGTGAAAGGCAACAAGATCTCTTTACAAAGTCTTCGTCTTTTTCAATAAATTTTGCATGAAGACATGTTATCCTGGCACAAAGTTGCCTGCTGTCACATTGGAAGTGTGATAAATGTTTAATGAAAACAACACCACACAGCTTGGTGTCAGACAACAGCTATCACACAGCCCTGCTTTGATCCAAACAGACACTTAAAAGGAGTTCTAAGCATGCTCTGCACCACAGAACTCTATAACCTATATGCAAATAGGGGTAAATTAGCATAAATTACTTCCTGCTGTATAAATAACAGGTTAGGAAAAATATGACAGACTCTATAAGTATGTAACTGCTGTCAAAACTCAGAGTCCAGCTTTCCCAAATCACTCCCAACATCTTCTACCAATCACTAGGTAGAGGGAATAAAAAACAAAACCCCTTATTGACAGGAATTTATTACATGAAACTCTAAAACTGAAGACACTGGAATTTTGCCAAGGTTAAAGCCATAACTAACATATATCTATAAAGTATGATTACTACATGGTACTAGTTTTCTTATTCACACTGCTTATAATACTTACAGCTTTTTAAGTACCACCATCCCCATATTATAGAAAAATAAATTATATATCCAGAGGCAAATTCTTACCTCTCTCAAAAAGTATAAAGCTTCTGAAAATTATACAAAGAAAAATGGAAGAATGTATAAATACAAGTATTTCAGTAAAATATCCCAAAAGTCTTGTTGGGTACATTTCTCAGAACAGCATCCATCTACTGAAAATCCAATGAGGAAATAATAACGGTGAAAACTTTTCATGGTAGCAGGTCATGAAGAAAGGCACACTTAGAAATACAAAATTAGGTTCCTAATGAATTCTAAAGTTATTCAAATTACGAAGAAAGCATTTTAGTAGGTGTCTTGGTGCATTCTGTGCTGCTATAACAGAATGCAATGGTTTGGGTCATTAGTTTATAATGAATAAAAATTTATTGCCTCACAGTTCTGGATGCTGGGAAGTCCAAGATTGAGAGGCCAGCATCTGATGATGAACTTCTTGCTGCATCATTCCAAAGAAGAAAGGCAAAGAGCACGTAGGAGGGGGAAGCCTTATAAGAAACCTACTCCCATGATAGCATACCCACTCCCTTGATAACTGCATTAATCCATTCATGAGGGAAGACCCACCTTCCATAAAGGTCCCACCTCCCAACACTGCCGCAATTTGGATCAAGTTTCCAACACAAAAACTTTGGGAGACATATTCAAACCACAGCAGTAGGCAACAACTGCCTGAAACCAAATTTTCCTAGCTGGTGATTTAAATCAATCCCATCCAAATTCCCCTTTTAAGGATGGCACTGTGATTTAAGAATGAGTAGTAGAACATCACTAGTGGCTACTTACATATTTGTTCACAACTAATTTTTCAAAGACATATTTAAAGAGGTTTTATACCAGTCAACTATATGTTAGGCAGTTTGGATCAAGATGTAGGTAAAGAAGGTCCAATAATATGTTAATCCACAGAAGACTTAGATAGGATGTATAACATTCACCATCATCAAATCAAATTGCAATTATGAGATGCCATGACAAGTTTCCTATTTCTGATTGTTGACTCTCAATAACAGTTTAACAAAATAATGTTGTATCCAATTTCAACTTAACAACTCTGCTATTAAGAAAAATCTGTTTTCATAATGCAAAGACATTATCCCTTATAAAAATTGTAATGATCTAGGGCCTGGCACAGTGGCTCACTCCTGTAATCCTAGTGCTTTGGAAGGCCAAAGCCAGAGGATTGCTTGAGACCAGGAGTTTGAGGCCAGCCTGGTCAACATAGTGAGACTTTATCTCAAGAAAAAATAAAGAATAAAAAAATTAGCCAAGTTTCGTGGTGAACACTTGCAGTACTAGCTACTTAAGAGGCTAAGGTGGGAGGATCACTGGAGTCCAGGAGTTCAAGGTTGCAGTGAGCTATGATCACATCCCTGCACTCCAGCCTGAGCAACAAAATGAGACCCTGTCTCTAAAAATTACAAATTAGAAAAAAAGAAATACAGTTGCTCTGACTACGGAGTAGCCATTCTTTACTCCTTTACTTTCTTAATAAATTGCTTTCACTTTTAAAAAATGAAATTTTCTAAAGATAAGAAATATTTATTTTTAAAATTTGGGGGGAAAACAAAAAAGAAAAATCTGTATCAGTGTTTAAAGGAGAAAATATTCTTAGAAACTAAATTTTATAAATATAAAACATTAAAAGTCATTAAACATTCTTGATAAAATTTCAGACAGGACTCGATGTCTTTCTTATATTAATCATTCACACAGTGTTATAAGGAAAGGCATCTTTTAGTCCCTAGAAACTCCTGAGACCTTTCCAGTTTATATTAGGTCTTCCTAAATCTGTAGATAAATAAAATTAGCAGGCCAATTTATGACATTATAAGACGAATTCTACAATTTTAATGTTCTAGGTATTTCCAGAACTATAATTAGCTGTTATTTAAAAAGGGTTTTTCAGAATTATCTGATCTCGCATTTTTTTCTCAAAAGTATAAAAAAGCTCTCCCTCATTATTAAGCTCATTAATTCCTGCTTGAGCATTCCTTTCTTTCCTGTTTTGTTTTTCCCAATTTATAAACAACCTTTACCTTGCTTTACCATTACTGTACTTACTGTCCTTGCTTTTTGTGCTTTATAAATATATACTTTGTGTCCTGTCTGTCTGTCTGTCTCTCTGTCTATCTATCTATCTATCTATCTATCTAAATACTGTTACTTTTGCACATAGGTTGTTTTCCCATGTGAAGAAGCACTTAGGTTACTTAGCACAAGCTAAAACACTTGTCATGCACTGCACAATCACAATGAACTAATACATAAGTCCTAATTTAAATGTTTGTGAATCCTTTTTCCTCTCTCTCTCTCCACAAATTTTTTAAAGCCACCTGGAAAAAAGACAGCTAATGAAACCATCACTAAAATAAACTTAATTAAGGCCTAGGAATTGTCTGTGAAGATAATTAAATATAATTCTAAATAGATGAAATGCTGAGGTGGGAAAGTAAGAACGAAGAGAGAGGGAGAAAAGAAGGGATCAATCTTTTACTAATGAGATTTCTGGGCTGATCAGGGAAAAACAGTGTACAGAAAATTCTTTCAGTTCTATTTTCTAGGAACGTTTAAACAACAGTATATCACTTGATCTCAAACTCTCTTGTTCATCATTAATAATTATGGATTACTAAAGAAATGAGGATAGTGTGTCGTTAAGAGGCAGGTGACAGTCAGTCCATTTGAATTAGAAGCCTAACTCTGCCGTTTATTAGCTCTATGACCACAAGCCTAAGCACCTTCATCTATATTAATAGGATAATAAAAGCACCTATTTCATCAGGTTATTAAATGAGATAATATATGTCAAATGCTTAGCAAAATTCCTGATACTGAAAAAATACATTTAAAATGTTAGATGCTTATCTTTTGTTTTTTTAAACGGAGTCTCACTTTGTCGCCCAGGCTAGAGTGCAATGGCACGATCTCAGCTCACTGCAACCTCCACCTCCTGGGTTCAAGCAATTCTCTTGCCTCAGCCTCCCAAGTAGCTGGGATTACAGGCACGCACCACTATGCCCAGCTAATTTTTGTATTTTTAGTAGAGACAGGGTTTCACCATGTTGGTCAGGCTGGACTCAAACTCCTGACCTCAGGTGATCCACCCGCCTCGGCCTCCCAAAGTGCTGAGATTACAGGCGTGAGCCACCATGCCTGGCCGATGCTTATCTTTTTACGTCCACTGTGAGTAAAGCATTTTGTTCATACCCCATGTAGACCCAATCACATCATTTCTCTACTTGAAACTCTACATTGGCATCCCACTGCCTCCAGAATTAACTGCATACTCAAAGCCCTCTCATAATCATCTCTCATCATTATTTATCTTCTACTCTAAACCAAGCCCCACTAGACTTCAGTCCCTCAAATTGTACCACACACATCCTGATGCCTCCAAGCCTTTCCATATGAAATTCATTTTGCATGATCATTCCTCCCCATCTCTTACTTCAATATGTAAAATCACTTCATCTGAGAGCCCTTCCCTGACACAGAGACTAGTTAAGATCAACCAGCTTGAAGTTTATGGAGGGAAATATCTCTCAACCAGAAGGTGTCAAGACTGAAAATGAAAGCCAACATGCTTAGACTAGCCTGTGAGAAGTATAAAAACAGCCTCAGACTGCTTATCTTTTAACTGCTCATTATTAGCGGTAAGTGCACTCATAGTTTAAGCCAGAAATGACAAATAACAACTCTTGAGCCAAATCCAGCCAGACACCCATTTTTATAAATAGTTTTACTGAAATACGGCCTTCCTGTTAGTTTACTATTACCTATAGTTGTAAAGTTCAGTAGCTGCAACAGAGACCAAATGATCCAGAAAGCCTAAATTATTTACTATCTAGCCCAATCTTCTCCAACTTGCAGCCCGTGGGCCACATGCAGCCCAGGACAGCTTCGAATGTGGCCCAACACAAATTCGTAAACTTTCTTAAAACATTATGAGATTTTTGTGATTTTTTTTTAGCTCATCAGCTATCGTTAGAGTATTTCATATGTGGCCCAAAACAATTCTTCTTCTTCCAGTGTGGCCCAGGGAAGCCAGAAGATTGGATACCCCTAATCTAGCCCTTTACAAAAGTTTGCTGACCCTTGGTTTAATTTAAGCTACTCTTAGTTAGGTTTCGTTACAGCCAAAGCATCCTAACTGGTACAGTGTTTCCACAGCTCTTTTTACTTTTCCTACTGGAAAAATTCATCCGACTTTACTATAATCACTTGCATATCTTCCCTTCTACACATGTTTATATTCCCACCTGTGTGAAAGCTCCAAGCAGTACTGGCACTAACATTTATATCCTTATTACTTAACACAGTACCTGACAAGTAGAAGGCATTTAAATACTGTTGACTGAACAATTAAACAGATGAATGAATGTGCATATTTGATAATCAATATTTAAATATTAAATATTTAACAAAAATTAACATGTACATTAGGTGCTCTGAGTGATACAAAAGATTCTAAGTCCAGAATGGCTTGAAAATCAGGCTTAGGAAATATAAGAATCTGTGTGCACCTCAGCACTAAGCAAGGGAAAGGGCACCCTAACACAACACTATCCTCTACTACGGCCCACTAAAACCATAATGCAGACTACCCACAGTTTTTTGGCATCAGTCCCCAGTGCCCTTTTATTTTGCACCTCTTATTTTGACTTTGTTCATTGCCTTTGTTGAAATTAATGTTAAGAAATAACGACAAATACAACACTATTATCTTGTAAACTTGCCATCCAGAAATTGGTCCACTTGAACACAATCAACTATGAGTGAGAGATGAGTCTAACCTGTAAAGCTGGCTGAGACATTCAAGATTAATGTTACCATATGAGAACCCTTTTTAACACAATCTAACCTTTCTGTTTTATTCACTCTCTCATATTTCTTACCTTTAAAATTCCCCATATAATGTTTTATATAATATAAATTTTATGCAATTACACAAGTATTATTCTAAAAAAGTAAACTTTGGTGAGGTGGAAGGCAAAAATTTAATGACCAGTAAAAATCATAGCTTTCTTCCACAGCCATGTAATTTTTAAAAACAAAACCAAAAGAAGAAAAAATTTTAAAAGGAACCAGAAGCAAGGCAGTTCCTTGATTGACAAGTTTTATTCATTAAGCATATTTTCCAGACTCAGAACTCTACTGTATGTAAATCCTCCCTTCGAATTTATCATCCTACTGACTTTCTCCCGTTACCAAGAGATTTTCCCAATATGCTTTCTGCCTTCATTCCATTTTACCAGTGCTGGCTAACTCAGCCTCCCCACCTTTACAGACAGGTATCTAACTTCTAACTCCTCTCCTGTAACATTTCACAATCCTTAAAACTAGAAGAGGATAGAACTCAGAATTTTACAGGAACATAACTGATTACTGTACATTAATGGTTGTGGGATGATCAGGTGAACAAAAGTCACATAATAATATGTTATCCTCTTCCAAACTCCACCACAAATTTAACATTTAAAGAATACTTAAAAGCCAACAATCTAGGCAGATTTATATAACATCACTATAAATTTGGAAATAAAAAATAAACACACAAACAACTGTGAAAAAGAAAGGAATGAGGAAAGAGTTCTGTATCTTTTAATAAACTTAATAATTCTTTATAGAATCAAGATCTCAGGATACTATATGTGCAATCCTAGTAAACTCTTCAACATGGAAAACTAATACATTAAATATAAACACATTTATATTGAAGTATTACAATAAATATATTCACACAAGACACTGAAAGACTGACAAAAGAGGATAAATTCCAAGATTAGATTCTACTTCCTAGAATAAAAGACCCCAATTACAATTTTGAATAAAACAAACAAGATGCTGTAAATTTACTCTGTTAAAAAAGATTGTTTCATTTTAATGTTTTCTAATTTGACAAACACTTATGAGTGGATTTCAAGTTCTGTCTCTAAATGGACAAAACTAGAATCTCATTGTTTTAATAATATCAATTCTATGAAAAATAAAATCTGGACCTCATAAGCAGATACACTCACTCTTACAAACACACACATACCCTAATATTGCCCAAGCTCCCATTCTATACTAAAAAAGGCTTAAACAATAGTAAATCACATGGTCCCCTCCTTCTGTTTCAACTTTATACTTTTCCGCTAACAGCTTTACAATATGGTAATAGACATTTTTAATCACTAAGTAGTCTACAAATTTTAAGTTCATACTCATAACAAAGGAAACAGAGTATGAAACTTTCCTACAGAATTAGGCAAATTTTCCTCTACTTACATACTAAACTTTGATATTGCTGTTTATATTGATTCCAATATTGTTATATTATTATTAAATAAAAATAGAAATGAAAATGTACCACAGTAAAAATCTGAGGTAACTATTTTGATTTATCCTTTCTTCCTTCTCTACTGTATTCTCTCTTTTTATTCCATTTTCTTCTACTCTTATAGCAAATAAGCCACAAGAAAAACCTCAGAGAACAAAAATTTAGTTTGAACATCGCCATGGAATCACCAAGTCCTTACCAGATAAGATTTGCTCCAACTTACCCACGTTTGATGTTATGTAATTCCTTGTCCTTCCCTTTATCCTTCTCCTTTTCTCTTTTCTCTTTATCTCTGCCCTTACGTCGTTCTCTATCCCGAGACCGACTACGCGTTCTTCTGTGACTGGACCTTTCACTGCTACGACTATGAGAACGGAGACGAGGTCTTGACCTGGACCTACAGTAAGCAGATTTTGTTAAATAAACTTAGTGTATAATTTGTATCGTGAAAAGTAAATACTCTTTTAAATTATCTGAAAAAAACTACTTAGTTTTAGTTGTGGACTCAGAAATAAATAACCACGTGAAGCAAGCACCTGAATATGATTCTTTATAAGTAAATGCTCTCACTTAATATGAGGGAAATATATATGCTAACTTTATAGGAAATTATGATGCAGTTAAAAAGTGTTTGCCTTAAAGGTTCAAATCTAGTCTTAATTATTCACATCTCCTCAAATAATGTATCTAATTTAATCTACAAGAATAAGGCTTTCCTTTTCTCTACAATCTTTGCTTCCATTATCTATTCAACCTTATTTCTTATTTCTAATTGTTCCAATATAAATACTGATCCACTCCAATCCAGCTATTCTTTGTATTAAATGCATTACAGTAAAATACTAAGAAGTAATTATTTCAGGTTCTGGTTACAATATTGATAAAACATATATATATATATATATAATCTACCAGACTGACAACCCTACAGATAATTTTTAAAAACAACTCAGGTTGACCCTTGAACAACATGGGTTTCAACCGCATGGATCCACTTACATGTGGATTTTCTTCCATCTCTGCCACCACTGAGACAGCAAGGCAAACCCCACCTCTGCCTCTTCCTTCTGAGCCTATTCAACATGAAGATGAGGATGACAACCTTTATGATGACCCACTTCCACTTAGTGAATATTAAATATATTTTATATTCATGCTGGGTGCAGCAGCTGACGCCTGTAATCCCAGCACTTTGGGAGGCCAAGGCGGGCAGATCACTTGAGGTCAGGGGTCCGAGACCAGCCTGGCCAACATGGTGAAACTCCATCTCTACTAAAAATATAAAAATTAGCTGGGCGTGGTGGCACATGCCTGTAATCCCAGCTACTCAAGAAGCTGAAACAGGAGAATCACTTGAACCTCGGAGGTGGAGGTTGCAGTGAGCCCAGATTGCACCACTGCACTCCAGCCTGGGTGACAGAGAAAGACTCCATCTCAAAACAAACAAAACAGAATTGTTGCCATTTTAATCCAACCATGTGATTTCCCTCCTAAACAAAAAAATAAACAAAGGTACATTTTTCGAGGAAAATAACAGAGTATTCATAATATGATATTCACTTTGTCCAGGATAAAAACTCAAAATTCCTAGATATATGAAGAAACACAAAAAATGTGTTCTATTCTTAAAAGAAAAGACAGCATATGAAGAGCAACCCTGAGACTAAACTAGATGTTAAAATTAGCAGATAAGGATTTTAAAGCATTAAGTGTAACTAGGCTTATAATGAAGATAAAGTTAAGCAATCTCAATAGAAATACCAGAATACGAAAAAAAATTCTGTAATTGAAAAACACAATCTCTGAAATTAAAATTATGCTGGATGAGATTAAAAGCACACTGGTAATAACAGAGGAAAGAATCTGTATACATGCAAATAAATCAATCAAAATTACCCAATATGAAGAATTAAGAGGAAAAAAGACTGTAATAAGAAAGCCCCTCAGGGATCTGTGTGACAAGATTCAAATGCCTAACATGTTTATTTAAACCCAGAAATAGAGAAAACAGAGGATGAAGCAGAAAACATTTTTTCAGTGGTGAGTGAAAATTTTCCAAATTTAATAAAAGACAAATTTACAGATTCTATATTAGAAGTTCAACAAACCAAGTAAGATAAATATTAAGAAGACCATGATTAGAAATACTACAGTCAAATTGATAAAAACTAAAGGTAAAGAGAAATCTTGAAAGTATTCAGAGGAAAAAACAACACATTACATACAGGGGAACAATGATACAAATTATTGCTACTGACCTCTTATCAAAAATAATGGAAATCAGAAGACAGTGGAATGAAATTCTTAACATGGTGAAAGAAAACAAAAGGTCAACCTAGAATTTTATACCCAGCAAAAACATCCCTCAAAAATGAAAGTAAAATAAGGACATTTTTGAGACAAAGGAAAAGTAAACAAATATCAACAGAAGACTTGCATTACAATAAATACTAAAGAAAGTTCTTCAGGCTGAAAAGGAATGACAACAGATGAAAGCATGGCTCTTTAGGAGGAAATGAAGACTAATAGAAAGTAAATAAATGGGTAAGTATCAAAAACTGCTTATTTCCCTTAATTTATTTAAAACACATATAAGTGCTCAAAGTAAAAATAATAGCATTTTACTCTAAGGTTTATACTGAAAGTAGACATAATACAAATAACCTCTATAGAATAAAGCATGGGGCAGGTAAATGAACCTATACTGTTAAAAGGTTCCTATATTTCACATTAAATGGTGAAATAATAACTTTAAGTACACTGAAATGTTAAGAGCATATACTGTAATCCTTAGAGCAACTACTAAAAAAAGAAGAAAATAAGTATAGCTAAAAAGTCAATAGATTGCTTTTAAAGGAATTATTAAAAATACTCATTAATCCAAAAGGAAGCTGGAAAGGAAGCAAAAAGAAAAAAGAAGGGAAAGACATAAAATAATCATAAAATGATAGACTTAAATCTAATTATATCAATAAGTACATTAGATATTAATAAACAAAATATTGTAAAAAGGCAGTTTGTCAAATTAATAAAAAGCAATACTGTATGCCATCTAAAACAACAACTACATGCTATCTACAAAATATGTACTTTAAATAAGCAGACACAGATAGGTTAAAAGTAAATGGCCAGGCCGGGCGTGGTAGCTCACGCCTCTAATCCCAGCACTTTGGGAGGCTGAGGTGAGGGGATCACGAGGTCAGGAGATCGAGACCATCCGGGCTAACATGGTGAAACCCTGTCTCTACTAAAAAATACAAAAAATTAGCTGGGCATGGTGGCGGATGCCTGTAGTCCCAGCTACTTGGGAGGCTGAGGCAGAAGAATGGAGTGAACCTGGGAGACGGAGCTTGCAGTGAGCCAAGATAGCGCCACTGCACTCCAGCCTGGGTGACAGAACAAGACTCCGTCTCAAAAAAAAAGTAAATGGATAAAAATATATACATCATATAAACAGCAAGTACAGGAAAGCTAAAGTTAATATATTAATGTCACATAAACTATACTTCAGAAACTAAGAGTGTCACCCAAAATAAAAATGGATACTTCATGATGATCAAAAGGGTCAATTCATAGGCAGAAATCATGCAGAACATGTTTCTCTGACCAAAACAGAATTAAATTAGAATTTAACAATAAGACATACAGAAAACCTCCAGATATATGGAAACCAAATAATCCACTTTTAAATAATCCATGAGTAAAGTAAGAAAGCACAAAGGAAATTTAAAAATATTTTGAACTGAATGAAAATGAAAAATACAACATATGAGAATTTGTGGGATGCAGATAAAGCAACGTTTAGGGAGAAATTTATAGTTTTAAATGTTTATACTAGAAAAGAAGAAATATCTAAAATCAATTACCTAAGGTTTCACTTGAAGAAGCTACAAAATGAAGAGCAAAGCACTATAAATCCAAAGTAGTTGGAAGAAAGGAAACATTAAAGAGAAAAATCAATGGAAGAGAAAACTAACAAAGTCAAAATCTAGTACCCTGAGAATATCAATAAAATTAATGTCTCAGCGAAACTCATCAAATGAAAGAAAAAGAGCAAATACAAATAACCAATACAAATTACCAAAGAATAAAGAATGTGGATGATGGAGACATCACATGAACTCATCCTAGATACTCAGGATATATATTAGTCCATTTTCACGCTGCTGATAAAGACATACCTGAGACTGGGAAATTTACAAAAGAAAGAGGTTTATTAGACCTACATTTCCACATGGCTGGGGAGGCCTCACAATCATGGTGGAAGGCAAGGAGTAGCAAGTCACATCTTACGCGGATAGCAGCAGGCAAAGAAAGAGCTTGTGCAGAGAAACTCCCGTTTTTACCTTCAGATCTCATGAGACCCAATCACTATCATGAGAATAGCGTGAGAAAGACCCTCCCTGATGATTCAATCATCTCCCATGGGGTCCCTCCCACCACACGTGGAAATTATGGGAGCTACAAGATGAGATTTGGGTGGGGACACAGAGCCAAACCACATCAGGATATATGTAAGTCTTTAAGAGAATTACATGGCTTTCAGCAGCAGTAATATTTGTCCTTGTCCATCTCTAATGGGTTCACTTAATAAAGAAGAATATTGGATCATAAACCCACAAACTTTCTCAATGTGATATTAAGAAATTTCTTGCGGGGGGTGGAGCCAAGATGGCCGAATACGAACAGCTCCAGTCTACATCTCCCAGCATGAGTGACGCAGAAGATGGGTGATTTCTGCATTTCCAACTGAGGTACCAAGTTCATCTCACTGGGGAGTGTCGGACAGTGGGTGCACGACAGTGGGTGAAGGAAGCACTAAACATGGAAAGGAACAACCGGTACCAGCCACTGCAACAACATGCCAAATTGTAAAGACCGTCGAGGCTAGGAAGAAAATGCATCAACTAACGAGCAAAATAACCAGCTAACATCATAATGACAGGATCAAATTCACACATAACAATATTAACCTTAAATATAAATGGGCTAAATGCTCCAATTAAAAGACACAGACTGGCAAGGTGGGTAGAGTCCAGACCCATCAGGGTGCTGTATTCAGGAAATCCATCTCACATGCAGAGATACACATAAGCTCAAAATAAAGGGATGGAGGAAGATCTACCAAGCAAATGGGAAACAAAAAAAGGCAGGGGTTGCAATCCTAGTCTCTGATAAAACAGACTTTAAACCAACACAAATCAAAAGAGACCAAGAAGGCCATTACATAATGGTAAAGGGATCAATTCAACAAGAAGAGCTAACTATCCTAAATATATATGCACCCAATACAGGAGCACCCAGATTCATAAAGCAAGTCCTCAGAGACTTACAAAGAGACTTAGACTCCCACACATTAATAATGGGAGACTTTAACACCCCACTGTCAACATTAGATAGATCAACGAGACAGAAAGTTAACAAGCATATCCAGGAATTGAACTCAGCTCTGCACCAAGCCGACCTAATAGACATCTACAGAACTCTCCACCCCAAATCAACAGAATATACATTCTTTTTAGCACCACACCACTCCTACTCCAAAACTGACCACATAGTGGGAATAAAGCTCTCCTCAGCAAATGTAAAGGAACAGAAATTATAACAAACTGTCTCTCAGACCACAGTGCAATCAAACGAGAACTGACGATTAAGAAACTCACTCAAAACCGCTCAACTACATGGAAACTGAACAACCTGCTCCTGAATGACTACTGGGTACATAACGAAATGAAGACAGAAATAAAGATGTTCTTTGAAACCAACGAGAACAAAGACATAATATACCAGAATCTCTGGGACACATTCAAAGCAGTGTGTAGAGGGAAATTTATAGTACTAAATGCCCACAAGAGAAAGCAGGAAAGATCTAAAATTGACATCCTAACATCACAACTAGAGAAACAAGAGCAAACACATTCAAAAGCTAGCAGAAGGCAAGAAATAACTAACATCAGAGCAGAACTGAAGGAGATAGAGACAAAAAATCCCTTCAAAAAATCAATGAAATCAGGAGCTGCTTTTGTGAAAAGATCAACAAAATTGATAGGCCGCTACCAAGACTAATAAAGAAGAAAAGAGAGAAGAATCCAATAGACGCAATAAAAAATGAAAAAGGGGATATCACCACCAATCCCACAGAAATACAAACTACCATCAGAGAATACTATAAACACCTCTATGCAAATAAACTAGAAAATCTAGAAGAAATGGATAAATTCCTCGACACATACACCCTCCCAAGACTAAACCAGGAAGAAGTTGAATCCCTGAATAGACCAATAACAGGCTCTGAAATTGAGGCAACAATTAATAGCTTACCAACCAAAAACAGTCCAGGACCAGATGGATTCACAGCCAAATTCTACCAGAGGTACAAGGAGGAGCTGATACCATTCCTTCTGAAACTATTCCAATCAATAGAAAAAGAGGGAATCATCCCTAACTCGTTTTATGAGGCCGGCATCATTCTGATACCAAAGCCTGGCAGAGACACAACAAAAAAAGAGAATTTTAGACCAATATCCCTGATGAACATCGATGCAAAAATCCTCAATAAAATACTGGCAAACCGAATCCAGCAGTGCATCAAAAAGCTTATTCACCATGATCAAGTGGGCTTCATCCCTGGGATGCAAGTCTGGTTCAACATACACAAATCAATAAGCATAATCCAGCATATTAACAGAACCAATGACAAAAACCACATGATTATCTCAATACACACAGAAAAGGCCTTCGACAAAATTCAACAACGCTTCATGCTAGAAACTCTCAATAAATTAGGTATTGATGAGACATATCTCAAAATAATAAGAGCTATCTATCACAAACCCACAGCCAATATCATACTGAATGGGCAAAAACTGGAAGCATTCCCTTTGAAAACTGGCACAAGACAGGGATGCCCTCTCTCACCACTCCTATTCAACATAGTGTTAGAAGTTCTGGCCAGGGCAATCAGGCAGGAGAAGGAAATAAAGGGTATTCAATTAGGAAAAGAGGAAGTCAAACTGTCCCTGTTTGCAGATGACGTGATTGTATATCTAGAAAATCCCACTGTCTCAGCCCCAAATCTCCTTAAGCTGATAAGCAACTTCAGCAAAGTCTCAGGATACAAAATCAGTGTGCAAACATCACAAGCATTCTTATACACCAATAACAGACAAACAGAGAGCCAAATCATGAGTGAACTCCCATTCACAATTGCTTCAAAGAGAATAAAATACCTAGGAATCCAACTTACAAGGGATGTGAAGGACCTCTTCAAGGAGAACTACAAACCACACTGCTCAACGAAATAAAAGAGAATACAAACAAATGGAAGAACATTCCATGCTCGTGAGTAGGAAGAATCAATATCGTGAAAATGGCCATACTGACCAAGGTAATTTATAGATTCAATGCCATCCCCATCAAGTTACCAATGACTTTCTTCACAGAATTGAAAAAAACTACTTTAAAGCTCATATGGAACCAAAAAAGAGCCCGCATCGCCAAGTCAATCCTAAGCCAAAAGAACAAAGCTGGAGGCATCACGCTACCTGACTTCAAACTATACTACAAGGCTACAGTAACCAGAACAGCATGGTACTGCTACCAAAACAGAGATATAGATCAATGGAACAGAACAGAGCCCTCAGAAATAATGCCACATATCTACAACTATCTGATGTTTGACCAAACTGACAAAAACAAGAAATGGGGAAAGGATTCCCTATTTAATAAATGGTGCTGGAAAAACTGGCTAGCCATATGTAGAAAGCTGAAACTGGATCCCTTCCTTACACCTTATACAAAAATTAATTCAACATGGATTATAGACTTAAATCTTAGACCTAAAACCATAAAAACCCTAGAAAAAACCTAGGCAATACCATTCAGGACATAGGCATGGGCAAGGACTTCATGTCTAAAACACCAAAAGCAATGGCAACAAAAGCCAAAACTGACAAACAGGATCTAATTAAACTAAAGAGCTTCTGCACAGCAAAAGAAACTACCATCAGAGTGAACAGGCAACCTACAGAATGGGAGAAAATGTTTGCAATCTACCCATCTGACAAAGGGCTAATATCCAGAATCTACAATGAACTCAAACAAATTTACAAGAAAAAAAAAAACAACCCCATCAACAAGTGGGCAAAGGATATGAACAGACACTTCTCAAAAGAAGACATTTATGCAGCCAACAGACACATGAAAAAATGCTCATCATCACTGGCCATCAGAGAAATGCAAATCAAAACCACAATGAGATATCATCTCACACCCATTAGAATGGCGATCATTAAAAAGTCAGGAAACAACAGATGCTGGAGAGGATGTGGAGAAACAGCAACACTTTTACACTGTTGGTGGGACTGTAAACTAGTTCAACCATGGTGGAAGACAGTGTGGCTATTCCTCAGGGATCTAGAACTAGAAATACCATATGACCCAGCCATCCCATTACTGGGTATATACCCAAAGGATTATAAATCATGCTGCTATAAAGACACATGCACATGTATGTTTATTGTGGCACTATGCACAATAGCAAAGACTTGGAACCTATCCTAAATGTCCAACAATGATAGACTGGATTAAGAAAATGTGGCACATATACACCATGGAATGCTATGCAGCCATAAAAAATGATGAGTTCATGTCCTTTGTAGGGACATGGATGAAGCTGGAAACCATCATTCTCAGCAAATTATCGCAAGGACAAAAAACCAAACAGCACATGTTCTTACTCATAGGTGGGAATTGAACAATGAGAACACACGGACACAGGAAGGGGAACATCACACACCGGGGCCTGTTGTGGGGTGGGGGGAGGGGGAGGGATAGCATTAGGATATATACCAAATGTTAAACGACGAGTTAATGGGTGCAGCACACCAACATGGCACATGTATACATATGTAACAAACCTGCACGTTGTGCACATATACCCTAAAACTTAATGTATAATTAAAAAAAAAAAAAAAAAGAATCTCAAAGTGCTGAAGCTCCTCGTCCAGCACAAAAGAAGAATGTCATGGGTGTTCATGACAACACTGTTTATAAATATAATAAAAGCAAATAATTATTCAGTGTATATTTAAAAAAAAGAAATTTCTTCCTTCCTTCCTCCTTTCCTTTCCTTTTTCTTTTCTTTTCTTCTTTCCTTTCCTTCCTACATTTCTTCATTCCTTTATTTATTTATTTGAGATAGGGTCTAACTCTGTCAGCCAGGCTGGAGTGCAGCAGGATGATCGTATCTTACTGCAACCTCAAATTCCTTGACTCAAGTGATCCTCCCGCATCAGCTTCCCAAGTAGCTGGGACTACAGATGTGGGACTACAGCTGTGCCACCATGCTCAGCTAATTTCTTTTCTGTGTGTGTGTGTGTGTGTGTGTGTGTGTGTGTGTGTGTGTGTGTGTGTATAGACGGGGTCTCACTATTTTGCCCAGACTGGTCTTAAACTCCTAGCTTCAAGTGATCCTCCTGTGTCAGACTCCCCAAGTTCTGGGATTATAGTCATGAACTAGTATGTCGACCTGAACTCACAATATTTATTACTGCTAATGTTAACATAGGTTTAATTATTTTATTGTCCTAATTTACACATACGAAATTTCTACCATTTGCTTTATAAGCTTCCTTGACTATTCCTTAATTTTGACATGAGCATCTTTCTATATCAAAATTTTATCATCACAACTTACTGTCCCCACAGATGTTACCTGATTCTTTTCTGATTAAATTTTCTATTACGTGTAAATACGTGGAAATTTTAACAGATTACTAAAATCTTTGAGCAATAATCAGTTAAATTCTAAAGTTTTCTGATAAAAAAGCAATAACAATATAAATGGAAGGCAGCCTTTTTTGTGATAACCTCAGCCAATATAAATACGTTATATGCATATAGACATACGGGTTATTTTCATTATTTGGTTCCACATTATTTAGGACCAAAATATGATTCTGGCAATTAGCTGTGAAAATACAGAGTAACAAAAGACAGGTGAGTTAGTTTAAACATTAATAAAATTCTAAGAGCTTATTTTTAAACTAAATCTCTAATAAAAGCTCATTTCTTACTCATTTGCCCCTTTTTATTAAAAAAATATACTGTTGGACAAAATATACTACCATTTGTGGTTCCAGATGAGGTGGATTTTGGTAAAATCATGTTTTTATTGTACCCTTAAAACTAAATGTATCTGTTACTAATATGCTCAAAGTTACATACGTATTCAGATTTAGAAGATAAAGAAATCCTCAAATAATAGTGCCCCTGAACAAGCTATTTCCTCTCTGAGCATCTCTTTCCTTATCTGCAAAATGACAATAATATTTACCTTACCATGAGAATGAAATAATATTACCTAACTGAGTTGTGAAACAACACAAGTTATTTGGGAGAAGGAAGCAGGCACTAGGAAAGAAGTTAACTGAGGGAAGTACTAATTTGAGTGAATTTGTAAAATCTGAATCAGAAGCATATGAAATATGTTTCCCTCATACCATAGCTAATGAAAAAGCAGCATTCTGATTTTGACAGACCTTTAAAATCTCAAGGCTGGCATAACAATCGCTCAAGGTTCAATGTATATCTTTTATATAGGAAGGTGAATAATAATAATCTGAAGTACTAATATCCTTGTCTTCACAGATAACCCTCGGCAGCCAAATACACGATCTTCAGTGGTTTGCTATTAACAGGAAGACCATATCACCTATCATCCAAGTCCTGAAGCCTTTGGAGGATAAAAGGAAATATTTGGGGGACATATGCAGGTCTTGAAGGAGGTACTATAACATGAAGATAGCAGGGCTTAATTGGCACTGTCCCAGAGGAAGCAGAGTCTGATCACATTTTTATCACCATTATAGAAAAACGGGATACTGCAATTAGCAGTGAGGTCTTCTATCAAGTACTATCTACCCAATCCTCCCTAGCACCTTATTTCCCAATCTTCTACTTCTCCCACCTTACCAATTAATTAAGCAAGCTCAGTTATCTCCAAACCCATCTCACAGTTTTCCCTAACACAAGGACTCTACTATAGAAAACATATGCCTGCCATTTTCCAAACTAATTGTGCTCATTATTCACCCTACATCTTCATACGAGCAATTCATCTCTTGAAAATTCTGGTATATTCTATAAATGTTGCTGGTGTGGTTCAATAAACTATGATAGCAATAACAGATCTATAAGTCAAGTCACATGATGTCAAATTCAAAGAAAGCAGTAAGTTTTAAAACATCACAGTATGCACAGTATGCACAGAATAAGCTATTGGACCTTCCCCCTGCCCTCTATGTCTTAATGTTCATTGTTTTAATCCTCACACTGTATGCCTCTTAATCATGCTTATAGATTGCAAGTAGCAAAAAGTGACTCTGAAGAAAATACGTGTGAAAAAAATAGTAAATGCAAAAACAAAGAGAGGAAAAAAATTATTAAAGGCTGTTAAAAACAACCATGAAACCAAGCACAGATTGAAATAAACTAAGCTGCTAACTTCTTAGTTGTCATAAGAATTGATTTTACACAATTTTGAATAAAACTCACATCCTGGACATATGAACAACTCCATTTACTTTATTAACTAACTTTACTTACAAATTTGAATGGTCCTCAAGAAGAAAGTACAAGTTCAGAGTAAAGAGATTTCCTACCCAGACCAAACAAACAAAAAGCCAAAGAAACTATATTAAAATTTAAGATGTTATTTGTCCCTCATTCCTTAAATAAGTATATTTCTGATAAATCACTCTAGAAGTCTCTAGAGTACCAAAGCCAATATGGAGATCTATTATAAGCAAAGAAACATTTGATAAAAAATGTGGCACTCTAGAACACCCAATATATAAGCAATAAATGGATAGCAAGATGTCCTATTATACCAGATAAATGCTTTCAATATCTACAGAATAAGAAAAGTCCCTGCAACATCTCTACATAAAATGAATTACTGACTTAAAAAAACAATTTGTCAAGTTTCTTAATTGGCTAATAAGTTCTAAACACATGTAATCAAAACAAATACCCTAATATTTTGTCGTTCAAAAGAAAACTACAATACTTCAAGTAGTCTATTCAGTTAAGTCCTATCTATAAATAAAGATTACATTTACCATAAAATAAAACTGTAATTAAAATTAAATAATTACACATTGAACAAAAATAACATGGATTCCATGTCAGGATGACATTTTGAACATGGACACCTAATTTCACTCCCTACTAAATTCCAACTAAAACGATAACAATAAAAGGAATTTTTTTTAATGACCTACACTCTAGGAGTGATGCGCTTTGGAAAGGGAGGTGTCCACCGGTGGCTTGGTGATAAAGGAAAACTGGAAACAAGGTGCTGAAGTTCAGGGATCTACAAAAACAAGATCATAAATGATGCCTGTAGTCTCAGCTACTTGAGAGTCTGAGGCAGGAGAATCACTTGACTCCAGGAGTTAGAAGGCTGCAGTAAGCTAAGATTGGAGTGAGCCACTGTACTCCAGCCTGCATGACAGAGCAAGACCCTATTTCTAATAAAATAAAAGAAAGAAACTCCACCTCACGATGCTAAACAATACAGTGTCATTCAAGAAGGGTTAAAGCCATACGAAATCTTCAGTCCATCCACAGTATTGTCTATTACTGCTGATCCAAGAAAATTATCAAGAACGACATAAAAAGAGAATCCAACATCCATACAAAGCAACTATAAGCAACAGAAATAATCAAAATTTTTCAAAAAATGTAAATATATCTCACTAAAAACCATGAAATAGAGAAGACTGTAACATAACACTTGAAAATGAATCAAATATAAAGAAACAAGCAAAAAAAAAAAATTCCAGGAAAAAAATGGACAAATAACAGGGAGATATGAAATGACTATTATCTGATTTTGGGAAAAAAAACCAATTTATTTAAATTAAAAATAAAATAAGTAAATAAATTAAAATAAAATAAGTCATCTCAGAAATGAATATTAAATTATAAGGTGCTCATATAATAAGAGACATAGATGTTAATGATGAAAAGGGCCAAAAGAAAGAAAACAAAAGTAGTAGAAAATTTCAGAAAAAAGTTATAGAAAGAAGAGGCACACAATGAACATCCAACTAGTTGAGGTTCCAAAAGAAAACACAAGGTAACAGATTATTACAATCATAATGCAAGAACAGTCCTGTAACTAAAGCCATCCACATGTAGAAAGGGTCCACCATGGGGAAATAAACTACCCATAATTAACCCTGAGATATATCCTGATTAAGTTACTGCTCATTAAAAATAAAGGAAAAAGAATATTCTGATTAAGTCACTAACAAAGAAAGACAAGTTGATATCAGTCTTCTCAACTGCATGATACACAGCAAAACAATGGCTTTAATTTTTTTTGAGAAGTTCAAGAGGGAAAAAAGTGTGTTGGCCATGTTACATCCCATTGGCCATGTACTCCAGCCAAGCTATCCTTCAAGAATCAAAGCTACGGGAAAAAAAAAATGTAATAAAAGTAGTAATTTATGTTAGACTTATATGTAAGTCAAGACCATGCAACAAATTCTAGGTAAGTCACTGAAGGTGTAATTAAAATAATATAAACTAGTCACCTAATAGAGAAGAAAATGAAATAAAATTAGTCCAAAGAAGGTAAGAAAGCAGAAAAAACGAAAAAATGGATTGGACAAATAGAAAACAAAGAATAAGATGGTAGAATTAAATCCAAATATATCAGTAATTAATAAATATAAATGGACTAAATAATACAATTGAAAGATTGTCCAACTGAAGGCAACAATCTACAAGCAGCTTTCAAAATGAACATCTTAAGTATTAAACTAAAGAAGTGTTCAAAGTAAAGGCAGAGAAAAAAAGATCATGCATGCACTAACAAAAAGAAACATGGTGAAACCATACCAATGTCAGATAAAGTAGACTTCAAAATAAAGACTACTATTGGAGACAGTTCATGATGACAAGGGTAATCCCAAACGTGTGTATTAATCTAACAATCCTGAATTTATAAATATGTAATAAAAGAGCCTCAAAATATGTAAAGCAGAAGTTGACAAAACTTAAAGGCAGAATCTTGATTGTGGATTTGTAACGTAAATTTAGAAAGTAAAGACACAGAAGATTTGAACACATGGTTAAATTTACCTATTAACTATACCTCAAAATTTCTTAATACTCATTCTTATCAAATGTACCTATAATATTTTCTAAAATAAAGTATATGGCGGGCCACGAAGGTAGCCTCAACACATTTCAAAGTTAGAAAGCATTCAGATTATGTTTTCTAACTATAGTGCAATTAAGGAAGAAAATAATAAACAGAAGACAACTAGAAGAATCCCTAAATGTTTGGAAATTAAGTAATATATGTTTATATATCCCATGGGAAAGAAGAAATCACAATGAGAATCTTTAAAATATGTGAATCAAATGAAAGCTAAAATATGACACATCAAAAATTTGTAGAATATAGCTAAAGCACAGCTCAGAGGAAAATTTATAGGGCCATAAGTGTACATATAAGAAAAGAATAAAAGCTAAAAATAAATGATCTAAGCATCCATCTCAAAGAGAAAAAGAGCAGAAGAGTAAACTCAAAAGGTTAAAGGAAAGAAATAAAGAGAAAAGAAGCAAAAAATAATGAAACAAAAGATCAAGAAAGACCAAAGTTGATTCTTTGAAAGATTAATAAGGTTGATAAACTCTTCATGGAAATGATTTTTTTAAAAGAGAAATCACAAATAAAATAATCAGTATTAGAGTTAAATCACCTTTTGCTCATATGGGTTAAAAGCTATGAAAATAATCTTTCTACCATAAACAACCAGAAAAGCAGATAAAATGTATGAAACAACTGATTCAGATACTATGCAATAGGCAGCCTAGGATTATGATTCCCAAAAAAGGAAATAAAGGAACCTTAGGTGTGCCTCAGTTTACTGCCTTTAGAAACTTTCCAGATGATAGAGCAGGAAGAGGGAATGTAAACAAAAGCCTGGTGGATGTGTTGAGCTAAGGAGACAGAGACAGACCTTCAGGTAGATCAAGGTGGCTAGGATTTGCAAAGCACTGTATCAAAGAGAAGGAAGTTGGATGGAAAGAGGAATACAGAAATCTGAAGTAGGATCCCCTTGATGTTCTGATGAGTTCTAATCTACAAATCAGAGGTGAAAAATAGAGGTTCTAATCTATAAATGTAAGGTGAAATTCCATGGAACCAGGGAAATATATACTGGAAAACAGAAAAATTCCTAAATATCACACAGGGGGAGAAAGAGTTCCCACTAGCCAGAGTGGAGACACCTCACACCAAAGGCATTGCATAGAGTCAAGTATTAGCACTGGAACAAAATTAGCCAGAAAAAATGTATCCTAGACCCATCCTAACAAAGCCTAAAAATAAGCCTTGATATTGGTAAAGTATAGCTACGTGATGAGGTTATCTCACGGCTGCATGAGAGTTTATTATACTATTCTCTACTTCAATTAATGCTTAAATTTTTCCATTCAAAGGTTAAAAAAATTATTTGAACCTTCATTTATATATCTGTTATTTGAAACTCACCATAAAAATCATAGTGGCCAGTTTTTCAGTCTAATCCATATAAGCCTACACGAAATTACCTGAAACCTTATACAAATATATCCACCAGCAACAACACTATTTTTGGGGGGAAAATATAAACATTCTGAATTTTAACTAAGACAAGTTAAGCAAACAAATATTTTTCATCTTTTATTATTTACTGACCCTCATCTGTCTTAGAGAAATCTGTTCAGATCAGCATAGGTGTCAAATGCTCTAAACTGTAAAACCAGGATCGACTGTCCTTACCAGAGGCAGAGGCTCAAGCCTCTACTTGCTGCAGATCAAGTGTTTGTAAAGAGGGGTTGCTTGTATATTCCTAATATGTAATTCTAGTTATATTGCTCAATTGAATAATATATCTTATCAAAATGCCAGAAACATTTATTTGGACCTATAACTCATATCAAGTTTTACTATTGAGCTATGAGAATGCAAAGCTAGTAAATAAAAATCAAAACCAATCTCCCCTTTACTATAATAGTTAATGCTCTAAAATATGTATAATAATATGCTTGTTTAGTATATGTCTCATTTAGCAATGTGATAGGGCATAACACTTTCCCCTATTATTACCAAGGATCTTCTATGTGCTAAGAAGCATGCAAGCTATATTCATGTACTTTATCTCACTCAATTCTCCAGTTTCAAACAAATAGCTGTTGTAATCATCTCCTTTGGTGTTTTGGATATTTTTCTCCTGTTGGGGGACAGCTGTTTTGTTTTGTTTTTACTTTGAGAAAACTGGATTCTTAAAAGTTCAGAGGTCGCAGAGCCAATGAGTGATAAAACTGAAATCTAATCTCAGGTTTGTCCACATCCTTTCAACTACGACATACTGCCAATGAGATCTGATGGCCGTATCATTTTCAAATAAAATCTATAAAACAGAAAAT
Organism: Homo sapiens; assembly: GCF_000001405.40. Classification (NCBI taxonomy): domain Eukaryota; kingdom Metazoa; phylum Chordata; class Mammalia; order Primates; family Hominidae; genus Homo; species Homo sapiens. The sequence goes on along the minus strand of NC_000003.12, from coordinate 158,186,977 downwards.
AAAGATTTACACAGACTCATTTCTAAAATATTATCAAAAGATTTAACCCTATCTTGTTACAAGTAGATCCATTTAACTAAATATTTTGGAATTCTCATCATATCAACCTTACAAATTCCCAATCATCATCTCTGGTCTCCCCATTTTTAAGAAAAGATATTAAAGGTAGAATTGGGAAGAAGGGGAAAAAAAGCAAAAGAGAAATGCAGAAAGTCAGTGCCTCCCCTCTAAAAAAGCATATAACCCACCCACTATGCCAAAGGTTAAGTCATTTAGTCAAGTTCAAAGATCTTCAAAGACTTCTTAGATCCAGATAAGCCCATATGTTACCAAAATTCTGTGAAAAAGCTATTACTTTCCAATCTGTTTCTCATGTTTAAGATACAGAACACACAGATGCTTGGCATCACTCATCAGTCTTCCTAAATTTTCACACCAGATAATCAAGGTCCACCAATAACTTTCCTATCTAAAAATCCTAGAAATGTCTTTATTCCATCAGTGCCTGGTTCCCTTGTTAAATCTGAAAGTAACCATAAAAGACCATTCAGTTACTGTACAATAAGTGTTAATTTGCTAATTTCTTCACAGGTAATCAATTAAAATGTAAAATATTGGATAAAAGTAGTTGCACTAAATTTAACAGCTGCTCCATAAGCATAATTAGTTTCACAAGGGCCATATGTATTCTGAACAGAGACAGAGTTGAAACAAATAGACAGATTTTAAACAAGTTTGAGAAAATCTGCATTTAATTAGCAGGTGGGCACTACAACTGCATAACATTTTTATACATTTATATTTATGAAGTGACAGAAGATCTAAAGGCTTTTTAAAACGGCGTTTATTGTTTGAATGGGAACTGTTTTGCTGCATGCTAAAGTGATTTAAGTCCTTATAGCTCTGCTTTGAAAAAAATCATAAATGGTGAAAGAAAACATGTGGAAAACTGTAAAACTAGAAAGAATTCTCGACAAAAAACAGATACACATACCATAACTAAAAGGAACTACACTTAATTAAATGTACACTACATCTGGAATATCAGCCTAATAAAATGTGAAACTATTAATTTTCATTGTTCTAAAGGAAATGAGGTCAGTGTCATTTAATAATTCCTCCAATTACATTGGGCTAACTCACTGGATTGTATGTTCTGGACACCATCTAATCTTAAAATGCTATATACTTTACATTATCCTTAAGTTAAACTTTTAAATAAAGGCATTTAAATTACAAAGGGGTAAAAGAATAAAATCAGCAAATGAAATTTTTTTAGCAGCTGGTAGCTACTAATATTATATTTAAAACTTTATGGCTTTGGATGAGGTTTTTCATGGACACTCATAAGTCTGAGTACACATTTGTTAGTTCTTATTAACACTGAAATCATTACTTTAAATATAGGAGTAGAATGAATAATTTTTAAAAGCAAAATGATGTTTACAGCACCAATAATTTCATTAGTTGGCTATATTTATTATTATTAGTTTTTAAATGCGTAAAAAACAATAGGACTTTTTGAGGGCAAAATGCTTTAAGGACTCTAAGTAAAAGAGCAATAATATTTTTTGTAAAAGAAAATGACAATTTTCCAAAATAAAACTGGATAATGAAGCAAATTCCTGCATCGCCCATCTCTGCAGTGGAGAGTTAGAGAGAAGTCCTTATCAAGTAAGTAAACCAGTATCTTAAAAGTTAACTGTTTTCTCACCTAGCCAAATAAATAGTGTGAAGCCTCCCACTTAGGTATCAAAGACACTGCATTTCAAAATTTCCTTAAATAGTAAAATCCATATGCACAAATTTAAATTATTAAACATTAATTTTGATTCTGGTAGCTTATTTTTGGAATTTAAAAAGTATCAACATGTTTTCTAATGTGCAAAATCTAAATCTGTACATGAACATTTTTAAGTATTTATGGAATCCACGCATCAAAAAAAAGATTTAAAACAACAAATATGATTGTAAAATCAAACTCCGAAAACTATGTGCTTTGTAATCAACATTAATAAATACTTCACATTAAAAAATAAAACAAAAATATAGACCACTCTCCCTCAAAATAATTAAAAGTTTTTCATATAAAATTTGCCTTTACAGTTTATTCATATGAAATAGAAACTTATTGGGACAAAATATTAATATCTCTTAATTATAGCAAATTTTATTATTCTAAAGCTAAAAGAAAAACTTAAGATACTTGACAGCTTTATTTACTAAGAAGTATCCTTAAACATTATAAAGCTCCAGGGAACTTGCTGAATGATTTCATACAACTATGTAAAACATAACTTAAATGGACAGACCTAATAGTTTACCAGTTAAGATTGCTATCCACTTGCCTTTAAATAAGACTTCCAACTCTCTTGTTTTATACTTTTCTTCCGAATCTGTGAACAAGTTCTAAATTGTTTATGTCATTATTTTAATTGCCAAAAAAGGCTTTAATGGTAATGAAAGAATTTGAAAAAGCAAGATGCCTCAGGCATGAAACATCTCAATGGTCACCATATTTTATAAATGAGAAACAGAACTCAGGTACACCCTGTATTATTGTGTATTGTACTGCACTGTGTTATATGCTCAGGGACAAGAGGAAAGAAAACTTGAAATCGAAGCATATGTTAGTATATTTCTTGATTTGGTGTGAGTGCTTTAAAAATAATTCTAGGTTTTGTTTTTTTTTTTTCATAAACCATATAATAGGAAGCAGAAGAGATTTTAAAGAGACAGAGTCTATGTCTTTAAGGTTTTGTTCCATGAGGCAAGAAGAAACAAAGGCAACCTAGTAATGAATAAGAGCATCTTAGTTAACTGAAAAATCAAAAATTATACTTTTTCTTAGTTTTCTCCATGGATCTTTATCCTGCATGTTTCCAGCATGATTTAATAAACATATTCCTAAATTCAAGTTCAAGATTCAGTATAAATAATTGATTTTATACTATTGGAAACAACACAAAGAAGAAAGTAAACTTAAAAGCGAAACCCCACCCCAGTAGCACCTAGCATGTATGGATTTTTATCAACAATAAGACCAAACAGCAATCTTTTTTATCTTTTTAGAGATGGTATCACTTTGACACCCAATCTGAAATGCAGTGCCATGATCACTGCAGCTTCAAACTACAGGGCTCAAGCAATCCTCCCCCATCAGCCCCCCGAGTAGCTAGGACTACAGGTGCATGCCACCATGCCCAACTAATTTTTTTATTTTTGGAGAGATGGGGTCTCACTATGCTGCCTATGTTAGTCTTGAACTCCTGGTCTCAAGCATTTCTCCTTCCTCAGCCTCCCAAAGTGCTGGGATTACAGGCATGAGCCACCGAACCCAGCTGAAAAGGAATCTTTAGGCTCATATTCAAACTTACAAATTATTGTTTTACTTTTTATTTTTATAACTCCTTTTTTTAGTGGTCCTTTCTAAAAAATGGTTTCAATATATAATCATGTCTATTTCCACCTGATATTTTACTTTTTAAGCAAAAAATCTTAACTAAATCAATTTTACAATGAATAACCTATAAATTCACTAGAAGATCAATCTACACAAACAATACAAAGGCATTTCTTTTTTTAAACAATCACTCATTTCCATTTTTACTACTGACTAAAGGAAAAAGAGGTTATTTTAAAAAAACTTTAAAGTGTCATTTTAGTTGAACTTAGCATTGAAAAAATAATTAAATTAAAATTCAATCTATTATCTTAAAAATAATAAAAACCATTTTATTTTATTGAAAAGTATTTTAAAATCCTCAAACTATCACCTGGAGTTTTCCTTATGGATAATTTAAATAGAAGGTAAGTTTATTTTCTTACCTTTATCTGGACCAATAACATTAATAACTTATTTATCTTTATCTGCATTACTTACAGATTTGTGTAAAGAATTAGAAAGGGGAAGGGAAATATTGGAAGGAGTGACAATTGGCAAATTCATACAGAAGGAAAATACAGAATAAAATTTAAAATTATCTATTGGAAAAAATAAAATAAAATTAGACCTTAGAAATTATCAAATCAGAATAGTTTGGGGCCAGATAGTGCTTTACAGCATTACTATACAGCTCAGTACCATATCATAATTATATTCATAAAGGTCCCAAGTAATTAGCAAAAACAATACAACTGGAATTAAACTTCCTTTTAAAAAAACTGCTACACATGAGAAATAAAAGTTGGAATCTACCCTTGAGAGAAGAATAGTATTTAAAACGTATCAGAACAAAGGAATACTAATTATTTTATTTGAACCATTCTTTCCTTCTTTCCGTAAACACAGAGCACTCAGTCTGGGCAAAAAAGGCTTAAAAGAAAAAAGATTTCAACACAAACTCTCAAAGTATTTTCCAGTAACATTTGGCCTACAGCATTAACTCTGAGAGTTTAAGGAAACCTAAGGCTGCAATAAGTACTATGTTTGGGCCTGAGTAAGACAAAGAGCCCAGAACACCAAGAACTAAAAAAATTCCTAAGACGTAGGATATCTTGAAATCCTTGAAAGTTCTACCAGTCCAGTGAATTACGAAGGGATTTAAAGTAAAATTTATAATCTGGGGCCCACTCATAAGCCAATTAGGGAGTTTCTCTATCACCTAAGAAAAAGTATTTGTAAAATCAGCTTGTTCATTAAATGTCACTTACATGTTTCACATTATGAATTTAATAAATGATTTGTAATTAACTTGAAAAATTTAGAAGACAGAAACACATCAGACATCTTCCTGACGTTTGGCCTTTGCATGGGCTCTTCCTATCATCTTAACACACTTCCCCAGACATCTAAGATTCCCTCACCTCCTTCATATCTTTGCTAAATGTCTTCTTTTCATTATGAACTTAATGAACTGTTCTATCCTGTTAAACACTGAAACCTGCCCTCTCTCCCAACCTCCCGAACTCCCAATGCTCCATAACTTGTTCTATATTTCTTTTTCCCATTGTACTAGACCCAACATACTATAAAATTTATTTATTATATTTGTTGTTCATTGACTATCCTCCTTGTTAGAATGTAAGCTCTGCAAGGGCAGTTTCTTTTACTAATAATATTCCAGGTGCCTAGAATAGTGCCTTCACAAAAAAATGCACTCAAATATTTGTTAAGAATGAATAAACAAACAAATTCATGTACTACTTTCTCAATTTGTGTCCTGTCTTCTAAAATCTACATAATTATTTAATATTTTTCTTAATAAACTCACTTAAATATTTATCTGATTTGTTTTACATGTACCTAAATTATCCCAATATTAGAAACTAATGTCATTTTCTCCTCTTCCCAACAAAATAGAATACCTACAACTAACAGATAAGTTACAATAACACTATAAGGTATTTTTGTTAAAATTTACATTGCTTTGTATTTCTCAAACTATGATGATAACATCTAAGAAATCTCATAAAGGAAATTTGTATAAAATGAACTATTTTTATCACTAATTTTCCAACAAAAAGCATACACATATTCTGAATTTTATGCAAAGGGAATGAGAAAGTAATCTAGTCCACAAAGGGTCATAATTTGAAGGATTTTCTTAACTCTGGGATAAATGCCATCACACCCTCCCAAATACAGACACTTTCCCAGGTGACAGATATTTCTCTTATGTGTCCAGAACTCCACATCTAAGCCAAGTCTATATTATGAACATCCAAAAAGGATCCTTAGCATGCCACATTTGCCTAATTCATTCTGTTCCCTTGTCCTCAGAGCCCTAATTAACATCTAGTTGCTAGCACAGTTCAAGAAAAGGATTTCATAAATTTTCAGGAACAGAAATAGTTTTGCTGATCATCTAGTTCAATGATTCTCATCCCTAGCCATGTATCAGTTACCTGGGGAGCTTTTAAAAACGTACATAGGGCCAGGGGCGGTGGCTCACGCCTGTAATCCCAGCACTTTGGGAGGCCAAGGTGGGCGGATCACAAGGTCAGTAGTTTGAGATCAGCCTGGCCAACACAGTGAAACTCCGTCTCTACTAAAAATACAAAAAATTAGCCGGGCGTGGTGGTGGGCGCCTGAAATCCCAGCTACTCGGGAGACTAAAGCAGGAGAATTGCTTGAACCTGGGAGGCGGAGGTTGCAGTAAGCCGAGATTGCGCCATTGCACTCCAGCCCGGGTGACAGCGCGAGACTCCATCTCAAAAAAAAAAAAAAAAAAGCATATAATCCCTTCAAATTATGACTCTTTGTGGACTCTTTAAGCACAGTGGCTCACACCTGTAATCCCAGCACTTTGGGAGGCCGAGGCAGGCGAATCACTTGAGTCCAGGAGTTGAGAGACCAGCCTGGACGACATGGCGAAACCCCACCTCTTTTGAAAAATGCAAAAATTAGCTGGACGTGGTCTAGAGGCACATCTGTAGCCCCAGCTACTCGGGAGAGTGAGGCTGGAGGATCACCTGAGCCTGGGGAGAAAGAGGCTACAGTGAGCCATGATTGTGACTCTTAGCCTGGGTGACAGAATGAGACCGTGCCTCAAAGAAACAAAAAATTACACACACACAGACACATAAACACACACACACACACACACACACACACACGGCAAAAAAAAAAAAAAAAAAAAAAAGAACCTCGACCTAAACCTCATACTTTATACGATAATTAAATAAAAATGAATCACACACTTCAAGATAAAATAAAAAACCATAAAAGTTCTAGAAAGAAAACATATGAGAAACAATTCTTGGATTTGACACCAAAAGCATAGATCTGATACCATAAAAGGAAGAACTGATAAAACTAGACTTCACCAAAATTTAAAACTTTTGCTCTGTAAGACTCTGTGAAGAGGATGAAAAGACAAGCTAAAGACTAGGAGAAAATATGTTTTAAGTAAAGAACTCTCAAAACTCAATAGTAAAAAACAACAACAACAAAAAAACTATTCAATTAGAAAAAAAGGACAAAACAAGTTAACATATTTCACCAAAGAGGATATACAGATAGCAAATAAGTACATGAAAAGTTGTTCAGCATCATTAACCATTAGAGAAATGCAAATTAAAATTACAATGAGATATCATTATTCAACTATCAGATCAGATAACATTAAAACAGCAATGTCAAATATTGGTGGACACAGAGAAACTGGATAGCTCATATAGTGCTACTGGGAATTTAAAACAATACAGCAAATCTGGAAAATAGTTTGGCACTTTATTACAAAATGAAACATGTAACTACTATGACTTAGCAAGAGTACACTTGGGTATTTATTCCAGAGAAATGAAAATAATATGTTCACACAAAAACCTATACATGCATTATCATAGTAACTTTTCTTATAACAGCCAAAACTGAAAAAAAACTTTCAATGGATAATAGTTAAACAAACTGAGGTACAACCATACCGTGAGATACTACTTAGCAATAAGAAGAACAAGTTACTGATATACACAACAACATAGATAAATCTCCAGGGGGTTATGGTGAGTGAAAAAAGCCAATCTCAAAGGTTACATACTATACAATTCCATTTAAAAAACGTTCTTAAATGACAAAAATTATGAAAAAGAACAGATTACTGGTTGCCTAATCTTTTCTTTCAAAGGGGGTCTAAAAGCAAAAGAAAAGTGAGTTTGCCAAAAGAGGGCACTATGAGGGATTCCTGGGGTAATACTCTCTATCTTAGCTGTATCAATGTCTACATTCTGGTTGTGATACCATACTACAGTTTTGCAAAATATTATCATCAGGGAAACAGGACAAAGAGTGTATAGGATCTCTCCGTATTATTTCATCTACCTGCATGTGAATCCACAACTATCTCAAAATAAAGTTAAAAATATCCAAATACATTATTCTCAAGGTACTAGCCAATTCAACTAGACAAGATAAAACAATAAGATGCATAAGAAATGGAAATAAAACAATTTTTATTTGCAGATAGTACACTTAGAAAATCCCAGAGGGGGAAAAATTGATAACATTGACCCAAACCATAAAAGAATTCAGCAAGCTTAGCAAAATATAAAATTAATATATAAAAATCAATAGCATCTATCTGCACAAATAACCAGTAAGTAAATATAACAAATGACAAAATCCCATTTGCAACGACAATTTAAAAATAAAACATTTAGGAATAAACAAAAAAAAGGTCAAAACCTAATTTTATAGAAATACTGTAAAACATCCCTGAAACAAACAGAAGCAAACTGGAACAAACAGAAAGACACTCCTTCTCATTGGCTAGCCGTTCTCAACTTCATCAAGGTACCAGGTTTCAATTCACAAATTTAATGTAATCCCCAAAAAATTCCAATGATCATGTCTACAGAGCTAGAAAAGTTCAACTTAGAATTCATATAGAAAAATAAACATCCAAGAATAGCCAGAAAAACAGTGGAAAGCAAAGAATTCTCAAGAGCAAAAATTAATGATTAGAAAATTAACAAGAGAAAATAAACAGTTTTTTGGTCAATAAGCCCAAAAGTTGGTATATCGAAAAGAATTTAAAAATTGATAAATCCCTGATGAGATTAATCAGGAAAAATAGGAGACTAAAATAGCTTTAACTGGGGCCAGGAGCAGTGGCTCATGCCTGTAATCCCAGCACTCTGGGAGGCTGAAGATGGCAGATCACTTGAGGCCAGAGATTGAGACCAGTCTGGCCAACATGGTGAAACCCCATCTGTACCAAAAAATACAAAAATTTGCTGGGCGTGGTGGCATGCACCTGTAGTCCCAGCTACTCGGGAGGTGGAGGTGGGACAATAGCTTGAACCTGGGAGGTGCAAGTTGCAGTGAGCTGAGATCATGAGATCATGATATCCTGCCACAGCACTCCAGTCTGGGCAACAGAGTGAGAGCTTGTCTTAAAACAAAAAACAAACAAACAAAAAAACAAAACAACAACAGGAATGAAAACAGAAGATTCAAATAATTATTAAAAGACAACAGTCTACAGATAACAAAAAGAAGGTGCTAAAAACAATATCCTGCTAATAAATTTGAAAAAGTGAATTGACAAACTCCTATCGGACACACATAAAAATAGAAAATTTTGTGTCAATTCTCTCCATACTAATCTGTAGAGTCAATGAAATCCCAACGAAATCACATTTTTTGCTTTTAGAAACAGTCAAGATGATTCTAAAAAGTATATTGATATTAAATATTGATATAAAGTTATATTGCAAATGGCCAATGTTTGCCAACATATTTGTTTTTAAACTTTAAGTTCTAGGGTACATGTGCAGAGTGCAGGTTTGTTACACAGGCATACATGTGCCATGTTGGTTTTCTGCACCCATCAACTCGTCATTTACATTACGTATTTCTCCTAATGCTATCCCTCTCCCAGCCCCCCACACTCTGACAGGCCCTGGTGTGTGATGTTCCCCCGCCCCCGTGTCCAAGTGTTCTCATTGTTCAATTCCAACTATGAGTGAGAATATACGGTGTTTGGTTTTCTGTCCTTGTGATAGTTTGCTAAGAATGATGGTTTCCAGCTTCATCCATGTCCCTGCAAAGGACATGAACTCACCATTTTTTACGGCTGCATAGTATTCAATGGTGTATATGTGCCACATTTTCTTAATCCAGTCTATCACTGATGGGCATTTGGGTTGGTTCCAAGTCTTTGCTATTGTGAATAGTGCCAGAATAAACATATGTGTGCATGTGTTTTTATAGCAGCATGATTTATAATCCTTTGGGTATATATGCAGAAATGGGATTGCTGGGTCAAATGGTATTTCTAGTTCTAGATCCTCGATGAATCACCACACCGTCTTCCACAATGGTTGAACTAATTTGCACTCCCACCAACAATGTAAAAGTGTTCCTATTTCTCCACATCCTCTCCAGCATTTGTTGTTTCCTGACTTTTTAATGATGGACATTCTAACTGGTGTGAGATGGCATCTCATTGTGGTTTTGCTTTGTATTTCTCTGATGACCAGTAATGATGAGCATTTTTTCATGTGTCTGTTGGCTGCATAAATGTCTTCTTTTGAGAAGTGTCTGTTCATATCATTTGCCCACTTTTGGATGGGGTTGTTTTTTTCTTGTAAATTTGTTTAAGTTCTTTGTAGATTCTGGATATTAGCCCTTTGTCAGATGGGTAGATTGCAAAAATTTTCTCCCATTCTGTAGGTTGCCTGTTCACTCTAATGGTAGTTTCTTTTGCCGTGCAGAAGCTCTTGAGTTTAATTAGATCCCGTTTGTCAATTTTGGTTTTGTTGCCATTGCGTTTGGTGTTTTAGTCATGAAGTCTTTGCCCATGCCTATATCCTGAATGGTATTGCCTAGGTTTTCTTCTAGGGTTTTTATGGTTTTAGGTCTAAGATTTAAGTCTTTAATCCATCTTGAATTAATTTTTGTATAAGGTGTAAGGAAGGGATCCAGTTTCAGCTTTCTACATATGGCTAGCCAGTTTTCCCAGCACCATTTATTAAATAGGGAATCCTTTCCCCTTGTATTTGTCAGGCTTGTCAACGATCAGATGGTTGTAGATGTGTGGTGTTATTTCTGAGGCCTCTGTTCTGTTCCATTGATCTATATCTCTGTTTTGGTACCAGTACCATGCTTTTTGGTTACTGTAGCCTTGTAGTATAGTTTGAAGTCAGGTAGCGTGATGCCTCCAGCTTTATTCTTTTTGCTTATGATAGTCTTGGCAATGTGGATTCTTCTGTAGTTCCATATGGACTTTAAAGTAGTTTTTTCCAATTCTGTGAAGAAAATCATTGGTAACTTGATGGGGATGGCACTGAATCTATAAATTACCTTGGGCAGTATGGCCATTTTCACGATATTGATTCCTCCTATCCATTAGCATGGAATGTTCTTCCATTTATTTGTGTCCTCTTTTATTTCATTGAGCAGTGGTTTGTAGTTCTCCTTGAAGAGGTCCTTCACATCCCTTGTAAGTTGGATTCCTAGGTATTTTATTCTCTTTGTAGCAATAGTGAATGGACGTTCACTCATGATTTGGCTCTCTGTTTGTCTGTTATCGGTGTAGAGAAGAGCTTAAATGACCTGATCAAGCTCAGAACCATGGCACGAGAACCTCATGATGCATGCACAAGCTTCAATAGCTGATTCAATAAAGTGGAAGAAAGGGTATCAGTGAAGGGTATCAGTGACTGAAGATCAAATTAATGAAATAAGGCGAGAAGACAAGTTTAGAGAAAAAAGAGTGAAAAGAAATGAACAAAGCCTCCAAAAAAATATGGCACTATGTAAAAAGACCAAATCTACGTTTGATTGGTTTGCCAACATATTCTTACAAAAAAGAACTGGATAGAAGAATTTCCCTTATATGAGACTTAATTTAAGCAACACTAATTAAGTAGGGCAACGTGGAATTGGTGTAAGGATAAACACATCAATGAAAGACAATAGAGAATCCATATGAACCAACCATATATGGGCACTTGATTTAGGACAATGATAGCCCTAGAGAACAGTGAAAAAAAGGAAGGTCTTTTCAATAAGTAGTAATGGGTCAACTGGATGAACATCAAAAAAAAATCATACCATACACACCACACATGAAAATAAATACCAGATTTAAGTATTAAAGATACAATGATAGAGTTTCTAAGAGATTTTCTTCAAGATCTTGGAAGAGACTGCAATTGATTTTAACAAACACAAAAAGTACTAACCACAAAGGAAAGGCTGCTACATTAAAATTAAGAAGTCTTATGCATTAAATGACACCATCATTAGAGTAAAAAGGTAAGCCACAGAATGGAAGAAGATATTTGAAATAATATCAACAAAGGGTTTATAACCAGAATATATGAAAAAAAACCCTTAAAAACTGCCACAAATCATTAAGTAACCAATTGCCTAATATAAAAATAGATGAGACTAAACAAGCATTTCATAAAAGAGATTATCCACATGGCCAACTAAAACATGAAAATGTGCTCAACTTCATTAATCACCAGGGGAATAAAATTAAAACCCAAAGGGATAGTACTATATGCCCACCAGAATAGCTAAAGCCTAATTAATTGACAATAGCAAATGTTGGCAGGGATGTAGAGCACAGAGAACTCTCATATACCAATGGTAGGGATTTAAATGAGTATAAACAAGTTGGACATACACATATTCTATAATCTAGCAATTTCATTCCAAAGTATATACACAAAAGAAATGAATGCACAGGCAAAGGAGACATGTAGCAAAAAGGTTTTAGTACCATTCTTTGTAATACCAAAATGGATACAATCTAGATATCCATTGTTAAAAGATAAATTGTGGCATGTTTATATTATGGAATATTGTACAATGATGAATGAGAGCTACATGAAACAACATTAATAAATCTCATGAAGAAAGTTGAGCAAAATAAGCCAGACATAAAGGATTACACACTAATGTAATGAGTGCATTTATGTAAAGTTCAAAAACGCCAAAACTTCTAAATGGATTTAGAAGTCAGTATAATGTTATCTTTGGTGAACTGGGAAATAATAATGATTGTGAGGGGTATGAGCAGGGGTTCAAGGGTATTCTTAACATTCTAATTCTTGACCTCAGTAGTATTTACACAACAGTGTTAATTCTATAATACAGTAATTCATTGAGCTGAACATTTATCACTTCTACATTTTTATCCATTATTGGTTACTTGAATAAAAAGTTTTAAATAAACAAATAAACTTCATTTAGCTTACTTATTGGTTTGGGATTTGTCTCTCTAGAAAACTTTCCTAGGTATTAGACTCCATTTAATTTTGAAAGCTCAACTCATTAAAAAAATAAATCAACCATTCATTAAGCACACTTATCAAATGCCAAGCATTAAGGCAGGGCTTCGAGTGGCTACAACCCCAACGTTGAGAGAAAATATATTATCTTGAATCTTTTTTTAAAAATAACTTTGTTGAGATATATTTTACATACCATAAAATTCATCCATTTTATATGTAAAACTCAATGACTTTTTAGTAAATTTACCAAGTTGTACGACCACAATAAATCAACTTGCGAGCATTTTCTTCACCCAGAGAAAATCTCTCATATTCATATACTATTAATTCCACCCCCCACCCCAACCCTAGGCAATCACTAATCTATTTTGTCTTTATAGACTGTTTTTTCCTGAATATTTTATATAAATAGAATGGTACAGTATGTGATTTCTTGAACTTGGCTTCTTTCACTTCTCATAATTTTTCAAGTCCATTCATGTCATAGCATTCATCAGTGGTTGGTTCCTTTTAATGTTGAATAATATTACATGGTAGAGATATACCACATTTTGTTTATTCGTTCATCAGTTGATGAGCATTTGTTTCCACCTTTAGGCTATTATAAATAATGCTGCTGAGAACATTCATGTGCAAGTCTTTGTGTGGATAAATGTTTTCATACATTTCTCTTGGGTAGATGGCTAAGAGTGGAATTGCTAGTTCATACAGTAAATTTTTGTTTGACTTTCTTGGTCAATTCTTAATGTATATTTAGTGATATATACATACATAAATATGTAAAATCTGAGTAGAAAGCAAAAAATTGGGGAAGGTTTTATAGACAATAGAAGACTTGAAGTTAACATAACAGTAAGATTTAGATCTTAATAACAACGAACTGTGCTTTTATTAAAAATAAATATATTTCAAATTAGTGTTAAATGCAAAGCATGCACCTACTGACTTAGTTAAAAATATCAGATTCTATAGAGTTACGAAAAGTCAATAGACACTGAAAAATTGAGTTATGAGCAAATGGTCTGCCTGCTCCAGCCCCACCAATAGATGATTGTTTTATAAATATATAAATAATCCAGTCTATGTTTAAATGCATATAAAGTATATTTATATAATTATAAACAAGGTTAAACTCGTCTTATATTCTCTATAAAGCCTATGATTTATATTTGATATGTGTATATGTAAATAATCACAGATATAAATCAGTGGGCAAAAATTTAATTATACAAATCAGTAACTATCATAGATAAATTAGATAGATACATATCGACTGTAAAAACTGAAACAAGGTTATCTTTTAAAAAACCACATATCCTAAGTCAACATCAAGTTTCTTACAAAGGGGATAAAAAAGAAGTCTAGTTTCTATGCTAAGCAAATGATTAGCACAAATTCAGATGAAAAGTTTTCACAACCAATTACTTATGCAACATTTATTTCATTACTAAATTAGGCAGAGCCTAAACTTATTTAAATTGTTTTAACCTCACAGAGTTAAAACAATTAACAATGAATTTTTAAATAAAGACTACTAGCCGCTTCTAATATTAAAAAATAGATTAAGTAAACATCCTAAAAGATGATGACATGTGAATAGCCATGTTTAATTTTAGGAAATTTTCAAAGGGCCAAAAATGGGTTCACATTCCCTGGTGAAAATGTGAAGAAACACACGCTAGCTAACCTTTTTAACCTAGAAGGGTCAACTAAATCAATTGTCAGGATAACTGCATAAGTTTGGAGGAGAGATGTGCTACTAACATATTTCTTCCTTTTAATGTTTCAACACAGTATGTTAAAGTTGTTCTTTAAAAAAGTATCTTCATAATTGCACAAAAATGAAACACTGTTTTCCTTATTCCTAACTGTTCCCAGTTATGCACAAGAGGAAGTATATTAATGCATATCTGAGTAGCAAAGCAGAATACATAAATGCCAAAAAGATAAATATTTCATTTAATGGTAAAATTGTGAACAGTTAAAATAATTCTCCTTTACGTTTTTTAGCAGTTTGATTATAATATGTCTGGGCATGGTTTCCTTTCAGTTTATCCTGTTTGGGATTCACTGAGTTTCTTAAATCTAAAAATGTATAACTTTATCAAATTTAGAAAATTTTTAGCCATTACTTCTTCAAATGTTTTCTACAAAATTCTCTCTCTTTTCTTGTTCTGAAACTCTAATTACACACATATAAGAAGATATTTTATTATTGTCTCACATGTTACCGAGTTTTCCTTCACTGTTTTTAAATTCTTTTTTTCATTGTTCTTCAGATTGAATTATTTCATTTATGTATGGTTTTTGTTGTTGTTGTTGTTGTTGTTGTTGAAGCGACACAGCCTTGCTCTGTTACCCAGGCTGGAGTGCAGTGGGATGATCATGGTTTGCTCATGCCTTGACCTTCCAGGATTCATGTCATCCTCCCACCTCAGCCTCTTGGGTAGCTAGGACTACAGGCATGCACAATGACGCCTGGCTGAATTTTTTTATTTTTGGTAGATACAGGATCTGTCTATTTGGTTCAGCCTTGTCTTGAACTGCTGGCCTCAAGCAATCCTCCTGCCTGAGCCTCCCAAAGTGCTAGGATTACAGATGTGAGCCACCACACCAGGCCATTTATCTATCTTCAGGTTTACTCCTTCCTTTGTCATCTCCAGTGTGATACTGAGCCCATTCTTTGTATTTTTGTTTAGATATTGTATTTTTCAGTGCCAAAATTTCTACTTGGTTCTTTTTTACAGGTTATATTTCTCTACTAAAAAGTTCTATCTTTCTATTCATTTCAGAAGGGCTTACCTTTACTCTGGAGGACACACTTGTAATAGCTACTTTAAAGTCATCATCTAATAGTTCCAATATCCAGTTCATCTTGGAGTTGCCATCTGTTGATTGTCTTTTCCCTTAAATATTAGTCACATTTTCCTGCTTATTTGTATGCTAAGTACCTTTGGATTATATAGTGGACCTTTTGTTTATCATGTTGTAAGACTGTGTATACTAGCAAAATGCTCTGTAGAATGTTGATTTTGTTGTTTATTTTAGCAAGCAATCAGTCCAGTTTGGTTTAGATCAAAAGTTCTACCTCACATTCTGTGGGTTGTAGTTCCAATGTCAGTTCAGTTTCCAAAGCTTTTGTTATGCTCCTTTGAATCTCTCCACTCACATGCAGTGTAAGGGTGAGTCCAGGTCTTGTGCCAGTCATACACAGAATAAGAGGATCTCTTTCTCTGGTTCTCTCTTTTCTGGGGTTACTCCTAAATTCTGGCTCCCAGGAGCAACTTTTCCCAGATCACTGGCAAAAAAGGATGGTTTTTTCTTGGAGTCTGAGCTACCTGTGCTGCCATCATGCAGTTCCACATGACTGGGGTGGTTCTTGGGGCAAAGCAGAGAAAGAAAAGAGAGAGGAAAAATGAATAAGAGCTCTACATTCCATATTTGGGGCTGCCTTCAAAGGAGGGCTGGGGAGAAAAGATGGGAAAAATGAAGAAAAAATTTAAAAAAACAATAATTGCCCCTAAACACTCTGGCTTACAGGATCTCCTTTCCCCATAGTCTAGTTAGAAATATGAGGGTTTTCTCTGAGGGTCTTTGCTTCCCTTGCCCACTGTGCAATTCTACAACTGGGACTACTCTGAGTCAAATCCAGGACAGCAAAGAGGAAATAAAAATGAGCAACTCAGTGCATATGAGACACTTCTTTAAGTTTTGAGTATCCTCCCCAGTCTACTTGCTATTGTTTCCAAACTGTAAAGTAGTTGCTGCTAGTATTCGGTCCAGCATTTTTAGTTGTAATTAGTGGGGAAAATGGGCTGAGTGGATTTATTCGATCTTTTCAAGCACCAAAAGTCTAAAGGACTTCACAGGTATGCTTTCTTGTTTAAACCCTCACATTATTCCAGAAACATATATACTATACAATAAAAATGGTAAAAGGGAGAACAAGGAAGAGCAAAAGCAAACAGAAAAAAAAAAAAGGCAGACCAGAAAGAGGTTAACATATAAAAGAAGACATAAGGCCCTTATATTTGCTAGAATTAAACAAAAAATCTGGCTTCAAGTTTTGCAACAGCTGCCTCAAAAGAAGCAAGGTCATAATGTTCATAGAATAAAAATAAGCCAGGTGAACAAATTAGGTACAACTAAGCCTAATCTTGAGATTTTATTTTATTATTAAACTCTCCAATAAATTTCACAGGGTAATTTCCAATAATTTCCCTAAATGCCAAGAGACAATTCCATAAAATCAATTCTAAAGAAGATCAATATAGTAAGCCCAGATATAAGACTTGGGCTTAAATAAGGGGTTGATTTTAAACTAAAAAAGAAATACGTATACTATATATCCTTAAGCATTACAGCATAAATATTCTTCTTGGCAAAGTTTTGAAAGGTTCTACATAATAGTAAGATTATATTCTCTGACAAGTACCTGGTGAGCAACTATTTTATGTAGCCACTGTAGTACAGAGACATATATCGTAACAGTCAACCCAGAGAGGGTTAGAAGTACCCTCTTATAGAAACTGAGGATCTTAATAAAAAAGACCACAGTCTGAACAGAATGAGTAACCTATCCCATTCATTAGGTGAGCCAAGAGAAGCAGATGGGGTTAGGGCCAAGATTTCTTTCAGAATGCAATTCTGAATCTTCTCACAGAGAAAAACAGGCAATCAAAACAAAAAATAAGGCAGCAATAATTGTACTCTAGGAGAAGTTTAAAGAGAATATAATCTGTCAACTGAAGAATGAGGTTCATAAATTTGGAAAGTAGAAAGAGCTTTATTTCTCATAAAGGGTTTGCAGCATTCCAACAGGCTAGGAGATATAGCTTCTGGCCAGAAGCCAGAAGCAAACACTTCCAGGGTGGGAAGAATAAGATAGGGATTTATGCTGAATGAGGTGGCCAAATACACATAATCAGTAAACTATAGCAGGAGTCATTAATATTTGTGAAAGGAGAAACATGCATATGCACAATTCAGTTTCATGCCCATCCCTGGGACTCATGCTCAAAAACGGAAGGGTTAGCATAATCCTTTGAGTTTTCATCCCTCTGATGTCAAAAGGTGAAGCAGAGGACACAAAAACTCTCACTGTACATACTTTGTGGTTGGTGGTCTCTTACTGAAAGAAATACTAGTTGGTTGTTTTGTGAAAACCACAAAAGGGAAAGGCAGCATCACGCTGATATTAGGGGTGAAGGGAGTCTTTCCAAAGGGCTGGTTTCTATTTAACTCTTAGGGAAGGAAGTCTAATGGCTGTTATTATAGGGAGCGGGAACAACGAGGTGGGTTCAACCTCCCATCCGATCTTGTGAAGGCTGGCGACTCACTTTTCAAAGCTTCTCTGGGGTCCCCTTGGCCAAAAGGGGGTCTGTTCAGTTGTTTGGGGAGCTTAAAATTTCATTTTAATTTCTCAAACCAAAAGCAACCTTAGCTATACAAGAAATCCAATACAGTACCCCAAAATGGTTTTAAGCAATGTTAACTATTTGTTATATCCTCCAACATTAACTAATAAACTAGTTACTAGTTCTACAGCCAAGAAACCAAGTATCATTATTATCTAGATAATCCCTGAGGCACTTGTACCAAAAATTATAACCAAAATTGCAACAATTATAATCTTAACGAATAGTAACAAAATAAACCCTTCTCAACTATGTCCACCATCTTAATAAAATAGAATTTATAACAAAAACTTTACCAAAGTGTTTTTTAAAAAATCTATAAATAAAAAGAATGAAAATCACTGAGATGTTTTAATATGTCAAAATGAGAGTGACTAAACAAATC
This sequence comes from Homo sapiens, assembly GCF_000001405.40. Taxonomy (NCBI): domain Eukaryota; kingdom Metazoa; phylum Chordata; class Mammalia; order Primates; family Hominidae; genus Homo; species Homo sapiens. The sequence goes on along the minus strand of NC_000003.12, from coordinate 158,168,485 downwards.
ACATGGAAAAACCACTCTTGTTCTCCTATTGGTACGTATGCTTCAATGTGACATCAGTTAATTTTTTATTGCATAATAAACTGTCTCAAAACTTTAAAGCTTAAAACAACAAACATTTATTATTTCACACAATTCTCTAGATCAACTGGAGGTTCATCCAGGCTCAGTGGGTATGACTAATTCTTGTGGTTAGCTGGATCAGCTGAGTCATTTGATGGTGGTAGAAGCTAAATGATCAAGGGCAATAATAGTCCACAAATTCTTCCTTAAAGGGCTAGATAATAAAAATGTTAGGCTTGCAGTGGAGAGCGGGGGATGAGGTCTCTGTAGCAACTATCCAACGCTGCTATTGTAGAGGGAAGCCACAGACAATAAACAAATTAGTGTAGCTGTGTTTCAATAAAATTTTATTTACAAAAACAGGCATAAAACAGTTAATCTGACTTTGCTAAACCCAGGTCTACGATACCCTCCCTCACTCACAAGTCTGATGGTAGGTAGACTGACAGCTTTTAGGGAACTTGGCTAGAATGTCTCGCCTTTGCTCCCTAGTTTCTTACCTTCAAAGAGGCTAACCAGAGGTTCCTGACGTAGTTGTACCACAGATCCAAAAAACAGCAAGTGAAGCCAAGCCCCAATGTGCATGGCTGTCTTGGTTATGTCCATATGCTTGAAGAAACTGAAGTACACAGGAATCCTAGAGTAACATTTTCCTTCTAGTTATAACTAGCACATATTAATATATCTAATTATTTACCAGTGTAGTTAAATATACAGATGAAAGCCAACAAAATAACATTAAAATACTGCCCCATTTTTCTAGAACACTGTCCCATTTTCTAACAACATTTTCATACTTTCTGCACAAACTTATGAAACATAAAAAGGATTTACTTGAGTGAAATATTAACATTTTGCCCATTTAAGTTTAGCAATAAGTGCCTCACAACTGCAATTCCCTAAAATAACCACCTAAAGCTAGATTTAGAAAACATACCTGGGCACAGTGGTTCACGCCTGTAATCCCAGCCCTTTGGAAGGCCAAGGCGGGTGGATCACTTGAGCCCAGGAGTTTGAGACCAGCCTAGGCAACATGGTGAAACTCTGTTTCTACAAAATACACAAAAATTAGCTCTGTGTGGTGGTGTGCATGTGCCTGTGGTCCCAGCTACTCAGGAAGCTGAGGTGGGAGAATCCCTAGAGCCTGAGAGGCAGAGGTTGCAGTGAGCCGAGATCGTACTACTGCACTGCACCTTGGGTGACAGAGTGAGACCCCACTTCAAAAAAGAAAAGAAAAAAAGAGAGAGAGAAGAAAATATACCACCACAAAAATAAAACAGACCCTAATCCAAAATCTAAAATTTAAAATCCAATTTACAGCCTCAAAGGATAAAACAATTGTGACAACTTGATAGATGTACAGAATGTATAATTCTGACTACAAAAAAAAGGGAATTCTATCCTAACCACTAAGTTGTTATTTTTCTTTTATTCTAAGCTATAAAAACAAGATGAGCATTTCCCAATAGCCAAAGACAAAAAAAATTCTATTAAGATACAATCTAAGTTTGTAGAAGTTCGGGTACTTATTGTAAACAAGCAATCTATGTATTAGTTTCACGTTTCCTCTTTCTCTTAAAATATGTGTTCAAAATATTCAAAAGGTATTAACAAAAAGCAAAAGGAAGTTCATAATTCTAGCAGAGAACAAGTTGATTGATTTGAGAGATTAAACAGTTCAATCCATTTGTTTCTAAATACTGAAACAATAGACTAAAGTCCACAGTAATTAAGTCAGTTCCTAAGAAATATGCATTGCCTGATTCACATTTAAGCCTCCAAATTCTTGAATAATGAACTTGTTAAGGGAACTAAATACACACATCTAGTTTCAATAAAGTTGGCAATACCTTAAAATATTCTGCATAAATAATTTTAACCTTAAGCATTAACATTAAGGAAATGATTAGAACCACATTTTTCATAACAAAAGGGCATAATTGACCGTTATTTTATTAGCCTACAATTTGCTTCACCTCTGTTTTCTTAAACCTTTCTAATGGCATATATATCTTGACAACCTCCCACACATGGTTATGATTACGTGTAACAAGACAACAAGCTCATTGAAAACCTTTACAGATGCTTAGCTAATGGGATGTCACATTAAATCTGATATCATATGATTAAAAAACTTTATATCAATTATATTATAAAGAATGACACACTATTTAAAATTGACATTCAAAGATTTCTAAATTATTTCGATAAAAGCACTACATTACTAATATACTTATTTAAGAAACTTTTAAAAGTAAATGTAGACATTACCCAGCTTATCCCCGTCACACAATTTGCCTGTTATCATGTGTCCTTGTGGGGATAGGTGCAAAAAATATGTATAGCTTTCAACATCTTAGATATAGATGCTTCTAACTACAAAACTCTGGTAAATGTCAGAATTGGATTTGACTACTTCTTACTTCCTCTCTTAATGCTTAATGACTAATTCCTTAGAGATGTCCTTAAAAGCCCTAAAATGTTGTCCTTGAGTAGAAACTTTCACCAGCAATCAATCAGGAGCAAATTAGATGATTGTGTTGAAATGTACTACACTGTTTAAGCTAATAAATGAATGAAGAAAGGTAGTATATGGAAACATATGCCACTACACTGAAGTTGCTAAAAGGGTTTGTTGGAAGAATATTTTGTTTCCAGTGGAGCAAATATGGAATAAGAAGAGACAGTGATAAAAGAATACCAAGTCATATGGAAATCCAAATATAGTGACAGACACAATTATTTTACTAATTGCTAATGAATACAGTCAAGTGGCTTCAAAAAGCAAAACTTCGCTTGGACTACTTCAGGTTTTGACCTCTGCACAAGAAAATGCATTTAAGCTGAAGCCCACCAAAATTGATTAACGGCGCCAGCCAAGGCCAGCATGTAGTTGAAGCTTTTTCCATCTATCACATGGCCCCAAGGATAGTTAAATGAACCTTAAAATGGCTACAAACAGCTCAATGACTACACAGAGTCCTGCCAATTAGAAATAATTAGGCAGTCATTTTGGTGGTAAGTCTTTTTAAGTGCATACATAACGATGCAATGATGCTTATTAACGATCTCATATGAGCTATGCTCAAACAGCCTGAAATAATTATGCAACTATCACAAAGCCTTGCTCATCTCTGTACTTCACCTTAATGCATTTAAAAATCCACTTCATTACCTCCAGTAATTAATCCTCCATTAATTGCAGGAAAAGCTCAGTTTACCAAGCTTCATTTCTAATTATCTTATAAATAGTTATGGTTCTAATTAATGTGTTCATTAAGATGAATATCTTTCTCAAAGCCATGCTCAGAGCAAAGGTTCCGCTTATTCTCTCAAAACCCTAACTAGCCATAAGGTGAGGCCATTTTGGTTGCATTTGCTTTTATTTTAGTATACTCAACCTCCTAATTGGCATTTAAAATCTAATTTGGAGAAACTTCAAGAAGGCTATATAGGGAGAAACAGGGACAAAAAGATATTTTCCAACTCTTTTCCAATCAATAATCTTAAAACCTTAATAGGAGAACTTTAGTGCATCTATCTTTTTTTATAAATATTGACTAATATGCTTAAGTACTATATCCAAGTGAATTTAAATTCTATACAAACTTAGCTTTGGCCCCTTCTCTTCAATTAGAAAACAAGACAAGATAAAATATGCTATTAAAACAAATGCATTTAAATTTATATTCAGTTACCTAGCTAAACTGCCACTATAAAACAATTTCTCAATGTAAATTGTCAGCCATCAAAGAGAAAACTTACACATATCCTGGGATCACCAATATTTCACATCATTTTATAAGCATAGCTACCTACATGCTTTTTAAAAACAGAAATATAATTCTGCGCCACAAAGTATACAGCACTTAAACAAAGAAAAAAAACACTGGCTATAATTTAAAAGCTAAAATACAATATAAAATCATTCTTTTTGTAATCATAAATATTTTTATAATTTTGTAGATGTTTAAATAAGTGTATACATAGTTTGGAAGCACAAAAAGTATTCTTAATATTTAAAAAATCAAATTTAATTTTATATGAATAACAAAAACAATTTATTTGGAAAATCAAGTAAAATCTTGTTTTAAAAAAAAAAGAACAGTTATCAGTGTAATAATCCTGGCAGTTAATAATAAAGCTATAGTTCGACATATGATAGATGTCTCCTGCTTCTCTGTAATTTGCGTTTGCTCATTAATCTTCCCTCCTTGTCTTTTTCCATGTAAGATAAGCCTATAGAAGTTTCATTTATGAATTAAAACAAATATATGTGCATTCAACAGGCAAAATTCAGAGAAGAAAGTTTCTTCACAGAGAATTTATAAGTAAAATTTTGAGGATAAATTTTTCTAGACTAGACTTTTAAAATATACTTTACAGAAAACACTGTGGCTTGTGTTCCCACATTTAAATTTCTGATTATAGAGACAGATTCAATAAAATTTGTTAGAAGTACAGATGAAGACTTATAGTAAGGGAAGATCTCATATCTTTTATAGCAACATTCATTCATTCATTCATTTATTCTTCTACGTTCTATTTACTTTTCACGGTGCTGGGAATACAGTGCTGAGTAAGACAAGCACCAGCTCTGACATAATGAAGTTGAGTCTAATCCTTTTAAAGTACAACACTCTTGCTAACATTAAAAAAAAAAAAATTGCTATAAAGGGTAGCAAAGGTAGAAACAGATTGATTTTGGCCATAATTATCAATTATTATAATATGGATGTGTATGATGTACTCCTTGACACTCAGAGTGTAAATGTCCTACTATATCCAAAAGATCCTTGAAAGAAAACATCTTCACCCATCCATCTTTGGAATGCTGAACCAAACACAACACAGGTACCAAGCTGTACTGTTATAACAAAAAAAGTACGTAATTCAGAGAGACATGAATATAAATAGATCTATGAGAACAGTAGTTTTGCTGTACCTATCTTCTAAATTTCAACCTCTTCAATGACACCTGACTTAGTAGCCCAGAGCAGTAATCTTCAAGTCTTGGCTTTGTAACACCCTAAAATGTCTACAGCAACTTCAAAATGGGAATCATTAAATTCTCACCACAAAACATTAACTCACTATCAGTCTTTAAAAATATTATTTCAGGCCACATGAGGTGGCTCACCCCAGTAATGCCAGCATTTTGGGAGGCAGAGGAGGCAGGAGGATCACTTGAAGCCAGGAGTTTGAGACCAGCCTGGCCAACATGGTGAAACCCCATCTCTACTAAAAATATAAAAATTAGCCAGCTATGCTGGCGGTGCCTGTAATCCCAGCTACTAGGGAGGCTGAGGCATGAGAATCACTCGAACCCATGAGATGAAGGTTACAGTGACCTGAGATCACGCCACTGTACTCCAGCCTAGGGGTGCAGGATGAGATTCCATCTCAAAAAAGAAACAAAAAATTATTTCAAGAGGAAAGGGAAAGGAGAGCAAGTGATAACAAAATAACACAATATCCAAAAGATTAGAAATTATTCTTCCTTTTTACCTGGAAGAGTTAACGAATATCATTTCTGTTTCTCCTGAAGAGTTCAAATTTTAGAATACTTAACTTTTCCACTCTCTTCCTTTTTACTGCCCTACTCCTCCCCACAATCCAATCTAAAGAAACAAAGTCAATGAACATCTTCAGTAATACAACAAAGCTTTCTATAATTACCTGACTAATAGCAAAACAATAACGCTGATATCAGCCCCTCAGAATATGTTCTCTTTTTGGTCAAAACAAATTTCCTCCAGGCCCTGTATCAATATTCTTATCCATATAAATGAGCTAGAAGCAATGGTTCCTTACAGGTAATAATATCTGAAAAAAGTAAGCAATGCAAAGGCTTAGATTTTAATAAACCAAGTTAATGAATTTACAGAGTTAACACCCCTCCCAATTTGATTAGGATTTAAATTGAGGTCTAAGTAAAAATGGTGATTATCCTAACTACTCCATTGAATGTTATATTAATTCTTTATCATTACAGATACTAATGACCAAAAAAAAGGAAACCATTAGATACCATTAACATGCTCTTTCCTCCCCCAGTTATTGAAAAAGATGGAAAGTATATACCAGTAGGCCCGACTAAAAAAGTATATTCTTTGAAAAGACTTCCAGAGCTCAGTACAGCGTCAGTTGATGTCATTTAGTCTCCAGGTATTTAAGATATAAAAATCTAAACAGTATCTTTCACAGACATGATTTACTTAGAGTATTTTGAGAAGCCACCCAAAACATTAAACAAAAAAGAAAGCTGTTTATCAGTTGTATTTTCTTTATAAGATCCATCAAGATTTTGGCAGTTTCTATTATTCAGATAAAGTCATTTCTCCCACTCCCACCATAGGCAGAGCTCAGTAAATGGTTATTTCATTACTCCCTACCACGTAGCTAAACACACAAATACATTACATTATATTTTTCTTTTCTTTGTTGAGATGGGGTCTCACTCCGTCACCCAAGCTGGAGTGCAGTGATACGATTTGCTTCACTTCTGTTTTCTTAAACCACTTTTGATAAGAGCTTTTAAAAATTTTGAGCCCCCCCTTGCCTTTTAATTGATGAGATCTTTGATTCATGAATTAATCATCTTTCAGGCATGTTTCTGTTTGTAGCCACACATTTTATTTTATGTATGTATGTATGTATTTTTGAGACATGGTCTCACTTTGTCACCCAGACTGGAGTGCAGTGGCGTGATCTCAGTTCACCATAACCTCTGCCTCCCAGGTTCAAGCGATTCTCCTGCCTCAGCCTCCCAAGTACCTGGGATTACAGGCTTGTGCCGTTACTGCCAGCTAATTTTTTCATTTTTAGTAGAGATGGAGTTTCACCATGTTGGCCAGGCTGGTCTCAAACTCCTGACCTCAAACGATCCACCTGCCTCAGCCTCCCAAAGTGCTGGGATTACAGGCGTGAGCCACAGCACCTGCCCCACACATTTAAAATTAGTATTCTTCCTTGCCCTTGACTTTGAGCTTAGACCCATGATTTGCTTTGGCCAATGAAATGTTGGCAGAAGTGACATTTAGCAGAGGACTTACATTTGCTTAGGAAGTTGGGCTTGTTTTCCTTTTGTCTAAGAAAAACCTGTTTTGAGTAGGGGCTGATCCAAGGAGGATGAAAGAGACAGGAACAGAGCTGATCTCAACACCCAACTTGGAGACAAACCCAAGGAGCCCAGCATAGATCAGAAGAGGCCCAGCTGACTCACAGATGTCTCTGTGAGCAATAAATACTTTTTGTGTGTGCCACTGAGTTTTGAAATGGTTTACTATGCAGCATTATTGTGTCAATAGCTGACTAATATAAAGACATTAGCACTAGAGGGTATTCAGGCTCTGGAACTAGTTAGTCTTCCTGCTCTGCCAAGGGGGAAAAAAAGAGTAAACCTAGTGAACAACAGTGAATAAGCACAAGAACAACTGTTTGAAAGCAGAAGTAGTGTGAATTCCCAGCTCTAGCCATATAAGTAAGAGCAAATTATTTGACCTCTGTAAGTCTGTTTCTTCATCTGTTAAATGAAGGTAATATACAGACTTAGAAAGTTAAGGTGATGCTGACAATCAAATAAAGTAACCTAGGATGATAACATAATTCCACAATTCCTAGCATAGAGTAGATGCTAAAAAAAACTTTAACTTCAATTTTATTTTTCTTCTTGAAGTCAAGCTATTTAAGAAAATTTCCAACACACCATCACAAAATGTTTACTACATGCAAATAAGTAATCCCACTTTTTTAAACTAAACTTCAAAGTAAACACCCATTAAAGTAGTTTTAGAGTAGTTATTTTTATATCAGAAAAGAGCCCTTCCCTTTCTCTCGGATCTTACTAATCACTTTTCTCCTTCCTGGTATAAATCTTGAATTTTCATGACAATTTATTTTTCTACAGGAAAAACAGAATTCTGCTTGTTTAATAGGCACAATTCCCCTATCTTTTCCTTCCCACATTTCTCTATATGTATTCCACCCCTTCCTCAAAAAAGGTAGCAAATAGCTAAGACATCAATATACATTTTCTCCATTTTGGAAGAAAGGGGTAGATTCATCAAATAATACTTATAAAATCATTTGAGTTATTCAGAAGATGTACTATACAAATTAAAACTTAGTAGTAGAAATTTATTTTAAAATTTTTAATAAGTGAATGGCTTGGGGCATTGAAGATTTCTTTAAAAAACAGCGCCTTCAGGAAAGGTCAGAGACACAGACACAATCATTCATCTTAAAAGACTTCAGGGGATGTTTTAATAACTACCTGTGGCAGGATCTCTCTCATATTCATTATAAAATTCCCAAGGCAGATTTTGCCTTCTCATTCATACTCACAAATAAACAAAATGGAGACCCCATCAAATGTAGTGTGAGTAGATACATTTAAACACCAGTTGTTTTTATCAGTGCATTCATTACCACAGTTTGCAATAGAGAGATAAAAGCTTCATAGGACTGAAGCGATCAAACACTCACACACACGCACACACCCACATACATGGCATTAAGCAAAGATAACTGAAGCTATGTGATATTACTTTTAAATGCTTGGGCACAAACAAAATCATGACTGAAAAATGACTAGTAGCTCGTAAGTCAAATAATGATCTCATCAGTAATTTTTTTTAATAGACTGAGGTGAGGCTCAAAATTTTTAAAGCCCTCATCAAAAAAAGTTAAAGAACTATGGAGTGATGAAATAATCATTTAGTGAGCTCTATGTAAGCTTTTCTATTCAAAACACTCTCAAATGCAGTGGCTCTATTTCTACTCCCTTCTATCTACAAAATGTTATTTTCATTTGAGTTCTACTACTCATCTCCCTGCAAAACACCCAAAATGCAACCTAATTGGGTTTTCAGGGCTTGAATGTGATACTGTCATTTGTCTTCTTTATCTATGAAATGGGGATAAATCATAACTCCCACAAAGTTATGCAAACAAAGGAGCAAACAAAAAATGCATGTGAAAGCATATTTTGTAAAGTATAAAGGGCTATACTAATAATATTCCTATAATCATCTTTTTGGTTTTCATATTCTTCTGATGACTCTTATTTCAAAAGTCCCTTTGGTGAATGGCCATCACATTCTGTTCTGGAATTCTCTAGGACACTTCCAATTTGCCTCAGTGGCTACTCCTTACTTTCATAGTTTTGCAGCACATCTCAACCACTAATCTAGAACTGGTGACTGGTTGTGAACTTTTACCCCACATGAATCCTTCCTTTGTATCACTCTAACTTAAGACAGTCAGTCTCTGAACACTAGCTTCACATCCTAGAATCTCAGGCCAGGCCAGCCAAACTACACTGTTCCTTACTGGACAAGAGAGGGTCTCTGGGCAGTTACTCCTCTATACTCAACATTCTTGGTTGGGAAATAAGAACAAAAAGTAGAAAAGACAGCATCACTTGAAAGGCTTTTGAGGCTATTTTTTGTGAGGAAAAACACTATTTCTTTTTTTTTTTTTTTTTGAGACAGAGTCTCACTCTGTTGCCAAGGCTGGAGTGCAGTGGTACGATCACGGCTTACTGCAACCTCTACCTCCCAGGTTCAAGTAATTCTCTTGCCTCAGCCTCCCGAGTAGCTGAGATTACAGGCACAGGCCACCAGGCCTGGCAATTTTTGTATTTTTAGTGGAGATGGGGTTTCACCATGTTGGCCAGGCTAGTCTCAAACTCCTGACCTCAAGTGATCCACCTGCCTCAGCCTCCCAAAGTGCTGGGATTACAGGCATGAGCCACTATGCCCAGCCAACACTCCTATTTCTAAAGAGACAAAAAACACTCTAAGGCTCTGAGAAATTCTCATCCATGTTTGTTTCTCATTTCCAGAGTTTTGCTACCCCATAGTGAAGGTGGGGGAAAAGACAATTTCATGTGGACTACTCCAAGAGAGAAAAAAATTGTGGCAGAAGAAATGCAGATAGTTCGCTGTCTTAGATAAACTTGTTAGAAATGTTTAAAATAGAATATGATTTTTAAAAATATATAATTATAATATCCCTCAGTATACACACAGTAATAGTTCCACAACCGCCAGTGCATGACCAAATCCGCACATACTCAAGTCCCACAGTCAGCCCTGACACATCTACATATACGAAGTCAGCCCTCCATATACTGTGTTTTCCATCCATGTTTGAAAAAAAACTGTTGTAAGTGAACTCACATAGCTCAAACCCATGTTGTTCAAGAGTCAACTGTGTTTGAAGGCACAGCTGTAGATTTATGCACCAAGTATTAGTTAACTGCTACATGGAAAGCAAAAGTAAGATTACATATAGCACTTTATCAAGGTTTGTACATATTTCAAAACTCATTAATTGAACATACTATTCATAAATATTCTACAAATTAATATTTCTGGAAGCTTGCTTGAGCCTGTCAGAAGATAAGCTTTTGCCTTATTTTTGTGTAAATAGTAACAGTTAAAAAAAATCAGTAAAACCAAAGCGACAGTAATCCAAAAGGGACTGTCACTTGCTCTTTTTTTTTTAGACAGAGTTTTGCTATTGTTGCCCAGGGTGGGGTGCAATGGTGTGATCTCAGATCATCACAACCTCCACCTCCGGGGTTCAAGCTATTCTCCTGCCTCAGCCTCCCGAGTAGCTGGGATTACAGGCATGTGCCACCATGCCCGGCTAATTTTGTATTTTTAGTAGACATGGGGTTTCTCCATGTTGGTCAGGCTGGTCTCAAACTCCCGACCTCAGGTGATCCGCCTGCCTTGGCCTCCCAAAGTGCTGGGATTACAGCACTTGCTCTTCATTGTTCCTCAAGTAGTGGGAAAGACAATCTACAGAGCAGTTATGACCTTGCCAGAACCTCGGGGTCTCTGAATAGAAAGATCTATTCTGATCCAATCCAGTTCTCCCTCTGATAAGACTGATCAGAAAAGGCAGGGATTACTCTACCAACACCAAAGACATTTAACTGTCATAATCCCAAACTCTGAATCATGATCTCAGAAGAGGGCTCGAGCCAGATATTCCTACGTTTCTCTTCAAAAATCCTAGTTCCACTCTGTTTGCTGTGAGTCCTCGATACAGTTGTAAGACTCAGTTTCCTCATCAGGAAATAATGATTCTAAACCTATCCCACTGAATTGCTGTAAGGATTAAATAAAAAGAATACATGTTAAACATTCTCTATTAATGTCTGGCCCTTAGTATGTACTAGATTAATCATTGGCATGTATTGTTACTATTATTATTTTAATTCAATGTTAACAAAGTTTCAGTTTATCCAGTATTTCTTCACTTTTACAACTCTGCTGGATCCCTCATAAAGCTGCAACAATAACAGAGAAAAGCTAGAGACATCTAACCCTTTTTAAAAGTGCTGTTTGCTAAATAACGTACAGGCATATCTCTTTTTACTTTACTCTGCTTTATTGCCCTTTGCAGATATTGTGACTTTTACAAATTGAAGGTTTGTGGCAACTCTGAGTCAAACAAGTGTATTAGTGCCACTTTTCCAACAGCATGTGCTCACTTAGTGTCTCTGTGTTACATTTTGGTTAGTCTCACAATACTTCAAACTTTTTCATTATTATTGTATCTGTTATAGTGATCTGTGATCAGTGATTCCCAGTGTTACTACTCTAATTATTTTCAGCTGCCAAGAACTGCATCCATATAAGACAGTGAACTTAAATAGATGTGTGTGTTCTGAGTGCTCCCCCAACCAACTGTTCCCATCTCTGTTTCTCTCCTATGGGCCTCCCTATTCTCTGGAATACAACGATATTGAAATTTAGGCCAGTTAATAACCCTTCAATGGCCTCTAAGTATTCAAGTGAAAAGAACAGTCATACATCTCTCACTTTAAATCAAAAGCTAGAAATGATTAAGCTTTGCAAGGAAGGCATATCAAAAGCCAAAAAAGACCAAGAGCTAGGCCTCTTGCACTGAAAAGTTAGCTAACTTGTTAATGCGAAGGAAAAGTTCTCAAAAAATATTAAAAGTACTATTCCAGTGAACACATAAATGATAAGAAAATGAAATAGCCTTATTACTGACAGCAAGAAAATCTGAGTGGGCTGAATAGAAGATCAAACCAGCCATAACATTCCCTTGAGCGAAAGCCTAATCCAGAGCAAGACCCTAATTCTCTTCAATTCTATAAAAGCTAAAAGAGGTGAGAAAGCTACAAAAGAAAAGTTTGAAGCTAGCAGAGGTTAGTTCATGAGGTTTAAGAAAAGAACTCATCTCCATAACATTAAAGTACAAGGTGAAGCAGTACGTGCTGATAGAGGACCTGCAGCAAGTAATCCAGAAGATACAGCTAAGATAACTGATGAAGGTGGCTATGCTAAACAACAGATTTTCAATGCAGACAAAACAGCCTCCATAGGAAGAAGGTGTCATCTGGGTCTTATAGGTAGAGAGGAGAAGTCAATGCCTGGCTACAAAGCTTCAAAGGACAGGCAGACTCTTTTATTAGGAGTTAACCCACCTGGCGACTTTAAAAGGAAGCCAATGCTCATTTCCCATTTTGAAAATCCTAGGGCTCTTAAGAATTATGCTAAATCTACTCTGCCTGTGCTCTATAAATAAAACAACAAAGCCTGGATGATAGCATGTAAGTTTACAACATGGTTTGCTGAATGTTTTAAGCTCACTGTTGAGACCTACTGCTCAGAAAAAATAATTCCTTTAAAAATAATGGCTGGGTGTGGTGGCTCATGCCTGTAATCCTAGCACTTTGGGAGGTCAAGGTGGGCAGACTGCTTGAGCTCAGTAGTTTGAGATCAGCTTGGGCAACATGGTGAAACCCAATCTCTACAAAAAATACAAAAAAAAAAAAAAAAGTAGCTAGGCTTGGTGGTGCATTCCTGTAGTCCCACCTACTTGAGAGGGTGAGGTGGGATCACTTCAGCCTGAGAGGTAGAGGCTGCAGGGAGCCGAGATCATGCCACTGCCCTAGAGCCTGGGTGACAAAGTGAGACCCTGTCTAAAAATATAAAATAAAATAAAATATAGTTCACTGACAATGTATCTAGTCACCCAAGAGCTCTGATGGAGATGTACAAGGAGATTAATATTGTTTCCATGTCTGCTAACACCACATTCATTCTGTAGTCCCTGAATCAAGGAGTAATTTTGACTTTCAAGTGTTACTATTTAAGAAATACATTTTGTAAGGCTATAGCTGCCATAGATAGTGACTTCTCTGATGAATCTGGGCAAAGTAAATCGAAAACCTTCTGGAAAAAATTCACCATTCTAGATGCCATTAAGAACATTTCTGATTCACAGGAGGAAGTCAAAATAGCAAAATTAACAGGAGTATGGAAGAAGTTGACTCCAAGACCCTTATGTGTGACTGTGAGGAAGAAGACTTCAGTGGAGGAAGTCATTGCAGGTGTGGTGGCAATAACAAAACAAAACAAAACAAAAAACAGAATTAGAAGTGGAGCCTGAAGATGTGACTGAATGGATTCAATTTCATGATCAAATGTGAACAAATGAAGAGTTGCTTCTTATGGATGAGCAAAAAAGTGGTTTCTTGAGATAGAATCCACTGCTGGTGAAGATGCTGTAAATACTGCTGAAATCACGGCAAAGGATTTAAATGTTACATAAACTTAGTTGATAAAGCAGCAGCAGGGTTTGAGAAGACTGACTCTAATTTTGAAAGAAGTTCTGGCCGGGCGCAGTGGCTCACGCCTGTAATCGAGCACTTTGGAAGGCAGAGGTGGGCGGATCATGAGGTCAAGAGATCGAGACCATCCTGGCCAACATGGTGAAAACCTGTCTCTACTAAAAATACAAAAATTAGCTGGGCATGGTGGCATGAGCCTGTAGTCCCAGCTACTCAGGAGGCTGAGACAGGAGAATTGCTTGAACCCGGGAGGCAGAGGTTGCAGTGAGCCGAGATCACACCACTGCACTCCAGACTAGGTGACAGAGTGAGACTCCCTCTCAAAAAAAAAAAAAAGTTCTATGATCGGTAAAATACTAGACAACAGCATCAATTGCTACAGAGAAATCTTTCATTTAAAAAAGGGTCAATCAATGTAGCAAACTTTATTGTTGTCTTATTTTAAATTGCCACCGCCACCCCAACCTTCAGCAACCGCCACCATGATCAGTGGGCAGCCATCAACATCAAGGCAAGACCCTCACCAGCAAAAAGATTATGACTCACCGAAGGCTCAAATGATCATTAGCATTTTTAAGCAATAAGGTATTTTTAAATTAAGGTATGTACATTGTTTTTTAAACACAATGCTATTACATACTTAACAGACTATGGTATAGAGTAAACATAACTTCTATATGCACTGGGAAACAAAAAAATTCATATGACTTGCTTTATTGCAATATTCACCTTCTTGTGGTGGTGTGGATACAAACCTGCAATATCTCTGAGGTATAGCTGTCCAGTCAAGGATTCAGGTTGTTTTAAATTTGGAGTTTTATTGGGGAAATATCTAAAGAAGAATGGAAAGCTATATTTTCACATTTTGCATACATGTATCCCAGTCTCATAATTATCCTGGGATTTCTCATCATATAAATTTACTCTACCTAAGATCACATACCACATGAGCAACAGACAAAGAGAAGTTTTATATACCAATAACAATCAAGACTCTCAAAAACAAGCTCCTCAATCCAAAAAGACAATCTTGGTTCACAAACTTTACAGTATAGGTTCGACACAGTGAACATAATTATGCTAGAGGTATTCGGCTTTCCTTAAACATCACACCTATTCAGATGCTGGTCAAACTCAACCTTTCTTAGATTGTAAGATCCAACAAGATCAAAGACCAACGGGGCATGACTACCAAGTAACTCCACCATCTATTTATCCTTAATACAGTGCTTTCTGAAATCATGTCTTCTAGCTTTATGGCAACCTCAAGGAAACTCTTAAAATCACTTATTAAGTTACAGCATTACCCTGCAACACAATACCATGCCACATTGTCATTCTTTAGTTACAGCAGAAACATTGTGGCTAGCAAGAGACTGTGGAGTTTCCCTGATGTTTTATTTAAGAATGAAAAATTTTAAAATAGTTCAAGAAAAGAAGCAGAAAATAACCAATAAATAGGGGGGTGGGAATTGCCTCTACTGGCAACTCTACAAGAAGAGAGTTCCATACCCATCCTCAAGTGTCTCCAAAGAGAAAGAGTTGCAGATCACTTTGATGGTTAAGAGAATCTCTAGAAGAGGCACTTAAGTAACTGACACAAGATTTAAGCTACATAGTTAGTAGCAAATAAGCAAATGTGACTGAGAATTTGCTCAGTCAATACAAATACAGAAGGTATAGGGAGAAAGTTGCTTTAAAAAGGACAGAAAGGGTTGCCCAGAGGTAGGTTGTCTGGAAAACTCCACCTGCTTTCCTCAGGACTTTACTATACCTGAGAAATTTACAGAGCATTTAGTTCCTAGATACATATAGTGCCCACTTAGGCATCTTTACATTTATTATTCTAAACTTTCCAAGTGTTAGGGTTATTAGATCTACTAAGATCATAATTAAAAGATGTCCTATAAAATGGCTTTTAAGCCTAAGATAAAACATGTACAATAATCAAATACAACAGAAGCCAAATACTCATTCAAATGTGAAATCAGCTCCTCAGTTAAAACTAAAAGTCATATTATTAAACGTGAAACTACAAGACTACAGGATCAATTTTTAATTCACATCTCATTTACTTCTGGGAAGAAGAAATAAATTTAGAAGATAATATGTACTCACATGTATCTCACTTTAGGCAACAGACACGAACTGGAAACATTGAGTAATCAAACATTTATATACCAAATTAACTCCTACACAAATTCTGAGATGAATTCATTCCAAGAGAATACTGATGGGAAGAACAATATCAACTTTATTGGTACAGCTTTTATTATTTTCAAAATACTTTCACAAAATATAATATGATCTTTACATCAATTCTGTGAAAAAGACAGAGGAGACATTTAATTCCAGTCACTTACTGAACAGTTACTAAGTGCCAGCCAAGAGCTAGCCACTAGTGATACTACTGGAATGACTAACATCCTGCTTGGCCCAGGACTGAAGAGTTTCTTGGGACATGGAACTTTCAGTGCTAAAACAAAGTCCCCGGCAAGCCAAGATGGTTGGTCACCCTAGCAAAAATCAATACGGCACAGACACTGTCCTCAAGGAGCTCACTATTTAATATTATGATTCCCTAAAACTGAAGTTCAGCTAAGTTCAATTATTTGCCTAAGGTCAAACAGCTAATAAGAGAAACAGAGTCCAGAGAAACCAGGTCTTCCAACTCCTACTTTATACTCGTCTCCTATATTATTCAATATCTGAAAAAAAAAAACATTTTGCCCATAAGATATGATTTTTAATTTTTATAAGTACAGAAAATTAAATATACAAATACACTAGACAGAGATTTAATACCTCAAGCCATAATCAAAGGCTCTAACTTATCTATCACACTTAAAAAGAACCTAACAAGTTTCATTTTACTCTACAATATTAAATATATGTTACATAGTTAAATCATAATGCCAAGGACTTTTGTGAGGTTTCTTATACTACCCTAGTATATTTTAATTAACATTCATTCATTGAGCAATACTTGTACAGTATTTACTGTACAGTATTTACTGACTACATATAATGACACTGTGTCCTCCCAGAACTTTTTGCATGCCTAAAAGGGTAGCATTTACATATCAGAAGCATAATCATGTTCATATATGTTTTCTCACTAGATTTTAAGAATACTGGTTCTGCATTCACACCGCGCAGCACAGGACCTACCACCTAGTTGGCATTTATTTGATGGCATTCAGGACATATGTACTTGGGCAGGACACACTCCCCCAAAACATTTTAAGCTGAACATATCTGGGAAAAACAAAGAAGCTGGAAAGGCAGCCTCTGTTCTCCCTCTTCCCCTTCTCCCCTGAAGTAGGTCATGAACACTACAAAAGCTTTCTGACCTAGTCAGGAAGCAAGTCGCAAGATCCTCACTGAAGAGGTGCCCTCCATATCCCCAAAAGAAAGAAACATCCTAATCTTTGAAGACACAAAGTCACAGAGTAGAATCTGAACAAACAGGCCTTGCTAAATTCCCCCCAGCTGACTAACATTAGATCACACTTTTTTATCCAATCATGCTTCACGATTATCCACTTCCTCATCAAGCCCAGCATAAAATATACACAGATTTACCCCTTTCTTCATGTCTTCATTTCCTTATGAAGGCTCCTGTGTCACTTTATTTATTATAGTAAATAAATCTGTATGCTTCTCTCTTGTTAATCTGTCTTTTGTTGCAGGGGCCTCCGCCATGCACCTGGCAATGCGTGAGAAAAAGATATTTTTTCTCCCCTACACATTCAAAGGATAAATATAAGGTATATGGGCAATATCAAGTAAAATACTCATAGGGAATATATAATTTAGTTAGAGATGTACATAAATAACCTCACTGAAGTAATGGCAAATCTGACTGGTATAGGTTATGAAGTTACCAGGAATTTAAAAGAGAAAGAAGATGAATTCCTTACAAAGAATCCTATGCCCAAATAATATCTTACACAGAACCCTAACATACAAGAAAATTAGATATAGATCTGTTCCAGTTAAAGCACCCCTCGCTCCCAAACAAAAGAAAAACTCATGGCAGTCCCGGAAGCACCTCCACAGATTTCCAAAACTCCACAGATTAAAGATCAATTCTAGCTCCAAAATACTTCCCAAAATGCTTTCCCACTCCAACTACCAAGCTAAGCCAAGGAACAACCCTCTCTTATAGTCTCTTACATATCATCCTAATTGATATCAAGACCTACTACTGTCCCTAACACATAATATTAATATAAGCTCAATAAATATTGTGTGAAATGGAAAAAAACACAACCAGACAGCTTATTAAATGAAGATCTTCATTTCAATTAGCAAATAATATTACTATATTTAGAACATTTCAATTTCTTATAGTCTTTGCTGTTCCAAATAATGTTCACCATTTTTAGAAACTGTGTTCAAGTCAGAAATACTCAGCTTTGTGATTTCCCCCAAATACAAAGTAAATCCAACCCTTTTCTTTGGTTTTATGCTATGGGGACAAAGGCAAATAACAAACATAATCTTATACTGGTGCAATAAATGGACCCACCTTAATTAAAAGGATGTCTAAAATAACTGGCAAGTCTAACAGTTATGATTCAATTAAAAACTTTCAGCCTTTAATCTATCATATCCTTTAAACAGCACTAGCAGTTGGCAAGAGCAATTCAGCATTACAACTTGGTCCTTTACAACTTTTCCCTGCTTTTTCTACAATGAATGATAAAATTAACCAAAAACCTTTTGGAACAAAAAAGTTTACATAAGAGAAGACCCTTAAAACAGGCTTTTAATTTGAAAATAAAATGTTAACAGAGATGTAGAATATTAAAGATAAACACCACAGAAATCCTCTTTATCTTCAGTGCATTTTAATGAGAATAAAACATTTCCTAAAAGTTACTGAACTTGAAAAACAAAATTGTGTTACAGGGTTATGCTGTCACTCAGTTGAGTGCTTTCAGAGTTCCCTTGAGGTTGCCAGAACAATAGGAACATGATTTTTCAAAGTGCTGTATTAGGAATAAATAGACATGGTAGTTACTTGATAGCCATGCCCCCTTGGTCTTTGATCCTGATGGGTTTTACAATCTAAGAAAGGTTGGTTTCAACCAGAGTTGGAATAGGTATAATGTTTAAGGAAATCTGAATACCTATAGCATCATGTTCACTATGTTGAACCTATACCTAATTTTCTCAAATAATTTACCCTCTTCCCTCCAAATATATTTTACCCTCAAATACGAATAAGTGAATGTGCATGTATTCACCTTTAAGAATTTCATTTCCTTTTATAGTCTGTTCACTTAGACCATCGCATCTGCAACAAGCATGCCATTCCCACATCCCCTATCAAGCTCTACAACCAAGATATAGCCTAGTCACGCGTGACCAAACCAGATGGGAATACCTGATCTTAAGGCAGGCAGTCCACAGCTGGCCAGCAACCCTTGATATAGCTCATCCCATATAAGAATTATTAGTTGAGTCAATCAGATTCCCTCACTCAGGAATGTAAAGTGGGATATACTGAGAAAATGATGCAGTTAGAAGAAAGAACTAAAGCTAAAATAGAAATATCAAAGGAGCTTTGATGATCATTCAGTATGCTCAACTATAAACACTTAAGAGTAAAAAGAAACTATAAAGAAAAGATAAACTGTACTCAGTAGTAGGTAAAGAAGCTATAAAGTAGTAAACCGAAAGTACAGCAAATACATAAAAGCATACATTTGTGACTGGGCGCAGTGGCTCACGCCTGTAATCCCAGCACTTTGGAAGGCTGAGGTGGGTGGATCACCTGAGGTCAGGAGTTCGAGACCAGCCTGACCAACATGGTGAAACCCCGTCTCTATTAAAAGTACAAAAATTAGCCAGGCGTGGCGGCATGTGCCTGTAATCTCAGCTACTCGGGAGGCTGAGGTAGGAGACTCACTTGAACCTGGGAGGTGGAGGCTGCAGTGAGCCGAGATCGCGCCATTGCACTCTAGCCTGGGCAATAAGAGTGAAACTCCATCTCAAAAAAAAAAAAAAGTATATATTCGTATACAAATGTATAAAGTAGCTGAGGCAATCCAGTTCTGCAGAACTAGAATGAAATACCGTCTTTTTTTATTTTTTATTTTTTGCTTTTCTTTCTTAACTCTTCCCTCAGCAGAATCAACTCACAAACACCTTGTTGCTAAGGGCTCCTAGAGAATAAACAACTGATTAAAAGATGAGTTTATGACATTCAAAACTTGGCAAAGTAGTTAGTAACCCCAATTTACAGATGAATAAACAAGCCCAGAGAGAAGTCAAAATACATGGTTCTAAGTCATGAAAAAGGGATTGAAATCCAGGTCCTGTGACTCCTAATCTAACACTATTGATATCTTACTGTACTGTTTCTCTGAGTCATGTCTAAGGCTTCCAGTTACACCTCATGTGCCGCATACACACACACACACACACGCACACACACACACACCTTTTAAGAACAAATTTGGATCTTGCACATTTTATGAGGAGAATGATCAAATTGCTTCTCCAACCCAACTGAACATTCCAATGACCCCATACAATTATTGATACATGTTTACCAATAGTCTTACATGCACCAAACAAGAAGAGCTACAAAGGGGACAGATAAAGGGAAATACATAGGAAGCATATCATTTACTCTTTTTAAAAAAGTTCCTGGGGTTTATAATCCCAGATAATAGGTAAGTATACATCAATTACCTGTACCACGTTTAATAGTAACAATATCTCAAAGCTATTCAAGTTGTTCCACGGACCAGTGCTAGTCCACAAACTAGTACAGTTCACGATGGGATAAAGAAATTAAGAATAAGAGTTTAGAAAATTTTATAGTTATTGGACACAACTATAACATTTTTATTGCATTTTTAAAAATATTAGTCTGCAATGGATTGAAAATATAGAGTTTAAAAAAAGTCCTTTACCACAGATAATTTGAGAAGCACTGCTAGACTACATAAACAGAATTAGTATGATTCCCTACACAGCCAGATTATAATATGAGAATTTCTCCTATTGTTCAACTAAATGTATACTTCTAAAACGTACACTTTTGAATTTGGAAAAAAATTTGAACAAACCAATAATGTAGTAGGAAACTGGGATACCATTCAGGAAATACTTTTTAAATTTGTTTTTGGAGGCTGATTATTGTACATGACTTAACCACATGAAAAAATAATCTATTTTCTGTTTTCTTCTAGGTTACAAAAAAATGAAAACTGCTACTTTGAGGTCAAAGATAAATTTAAAGTTAGGTTTTTTGAAAAATAAAAAAAAAAGAAAATTTATTAAAGATATGGAACATAGATTTCCTGAAGTATGACAATGGCTTAAATGTGGAGATAGGTAAATACAAAAACATGAGTTGATGGCCAGAAGATGAGTACCAAAACATCAAAATAATGATGGAATTGTAGTCCCAGCTACTCAGGAGGTTGAGATGAGAGGATCAATTGAGCCCAGGTGGTCAAGGTTGCAGTGAGCTGTGACTGCACCACTGCATTCAAACCTGGGTGACAGAGCAAGATGCTGTCTCACACATGGAAAAAAATAATAATGGCATTATGTGATATAAGAAAATTTCCTTTTAGCGGGTAGAGATTTAAAGTGAAGTACACATTTGTAAAATAACACAGTGTCCCATTTTGCTTTGAAATACATCAGCAAAAAAAAAAAAAAAAAAAAAAAAAAAGGCAGAAAAGCAGAAGAAAGAAAAGGAAGAAGATGGAGAGGGAGGGGGAGGCAGCAGCACTACCACCAGCAACAGCAGCAGCACAAGCAGCCATGGGGAAAATCTTGGTAACTGTTCAATCTAGGTACTGTGTATATATTGTATTTCTTCTCTTGAGTATGTTTGAAATTTTCTTAATAAAAAAGCCAATCTTAGCTAGAAATATTTCTATTTCTGTGGATAAATTCCTCGACACATACACCCTCCCAAGACTAAACCAGGAAGAAGCTAAATCTCTGAATAGACCAATAACAGGCTCTGAAATTGAGGCAATAATTAATAGCTTACCAACCAAAAACAGTCCAGGACCAGATGGATTCACAGCTGAATTCTACCAGAGGTACAAGGAGGAGCTGGTACCATTCCTTCTGAAACTATTCCAATCAATAGAAAAAGAGGGAATCCTGCCTAACTCATTTTATGAGGCCAGCATCATCCTGATACCAAAGCCTGGCAGAGACACAACAAAAAAAGAGAATTTTAGACCTATATCCCTGATGTACATTGACACAAAAATCCTCAATAAAATACTGGCAAACCGAACCCAGCAGCACATCAAAAAGCTTATCCACCATGATCAAGTAGGCTTCATCCCTGGGATGCAAGGCTGGTTCAACATACGCAAATCAATAAACGTAATCCAGCATATAAACAGAACCAATGACAAAAACCACATGATTATCTCAATAGATGCAGAAAAGGCCTTCGACAAAATTCAACAGCCCTTCATGCTAAAAACTCTCAATAAATTAGATATTGATGGGACGTATCTCAAAATAATAAGAGCTATTAATGACAAACCCACAGCCAATATCATACTGAATGGGCAAGAACTGGAAGCATTCCCTTTGAAAACTGGCACAAGACAGGGAGGCCCTCTCTCACCACTCCTATTCAACATAGTGTTGGAAGTTCTGACCAGGGCAATCAGGCAGGAGAAAGGAATAAAGGGTATTCAATTAGGAAAAGAGAAGTCAAATTCTCCCTGTTTGCAGATGACATGATTGTATATCCAGAAAACCCCATCATCTCAGCCCAAAATCTCCTTAAGCTGATAAGCAACTTCAGCAAAGTCTCAGGATACAAAATCAATGTGCAAACATCACAAGCATTCTTATACACCAATAACAGACAAACAGAGAGCCACATGAGTGAACTCCCATTCACAATTGCTTCAAAGAGAATAAAATACCTAGGAATCCAACTTACAAGGGATGTGAAGGACCTCTTCAAGGAGAGCTACAAATCACTGCTCAACGAAATAAAAGAGGATACAAACAAATGGAAGAACATTCCATGTTCATGGATAGGAAGAAGCAATATCGTGAAAATGGCCATACTGCCCAAGGTAATTTATAGATTCAATGCCATCCCCATCAAGCTGCCAATGACTTTCTTCACAGAATTGAAAAAAACTACTTTAAAGTTCATATGGAACCAAAAAAGAGCCCGCATTGCCAAGTCAATCCTAAGCCAAAAGAATAAAGCTGGAGGCATCATGCTACCTGACTTCAAACTATACTACAAGGTTACAGTAACCAAAACAGCATGGTACTGCTACCAAAACAGAGATATAGCCCAATGGAACAGAACAGAGCCCTCAGAAATAATACCACATATCTACAACTATCTGATCTTTGACAAACCTGACAAAAACAAGAAATGGGGAAAGGATTCCCTATATAACAAATGGTGCTGGGAAAACTGGCTAGCCATATGTAGAAAGCTGAAACTGGATCCCTTCCTTACACCTTATACAAAAATTAATTCAAGATGGATTAAAGACTTAAACCTTAGATCTAAAACCAGAAAAACCCTAGAAGAAAACCTAGGCAATACCATTCAGGACTTAGGCATGGGCAAGGACTTCATGTCTAAAACACCAAAAGCAATGGCAACAAAAGCCAAAATTGACAAATGGGATCTAATTAAACTCAAGAGCTTCTGCACAGCAAAAGAAACTACCATCAGAGTGAACAGGCAACCTACAGAATGGGAGAAAATGTTTGCAATCTACTCATCTGACAAAGGGCTAATATCCAGAATCTACAAAGAACTCAAACAAATTTACAAGAAAAAAACAACCCCATCAACAAGTGGGCAAAGGATATGAACAGACACTTCTCAAAAGAAGACATTTATTCAGCCAACAGACACAAGAAAAAATGCTCATCATCACTGGCCATCAGAGAAAGGCAAATCAAAACCTCAATGAGATACCATCTCACACCAGTAAGAATGGCGATCATTAGAAAGTCAGGAAACAACAGGTGCCGGAGAGGATGTGGAGAAATAGGAACACTTTTACACTGTTGGGGGGACTGTAAACTAGTTCAACCATTGTGGAAGTCAGTGTGGCGATTCTTCAGGGATCTAGAACTAGAAATACCATTTGACCCAGCAATCCCATTACTGGGTATATATCCAAAGGATTATAAATCATGCTGCTATAAAGACACATGCACATGTATGTTTACTGCGGCACTATTCACAATAGCAAAGACTTGGAACCAACCCAAATGTCCATCAGTGATAGACTGGATTAAGAAAACGTGGCACATATACACCATGGAATACTATGCAGCCGTAAAAAATGATGAGTTCATGTCCTTTGTAGGGACATGGATGAAGCTGGAAACCATCATTCTCAGCAAACTATCGCAAGGACAAAAAACCAAACACTGCATGTTCTCACTCACAGGTGGGAATTGAACAATGAGAACACTTGGACACAGGAAGGGGAACATCACACACCGGGGACTGTTGAGGGGTGGGAGGAGGGGGGAGGGATAGCATTAGGAGATACAGCTAATGTAAATGACGAGTTAATGGGTGCAGCACACCAACATGGCACAAGTATACATATGTAACAAACCTGCACGTTGTGCACATGTACCCTAAAACTTAAAGTATAATAAAATAATTTAAAAAAAATTTCTATTTCTGAAAGAAATGAAGGTGTTTATTCTACTTACAATCCCTTACAATTTAAAAATAAAATCTATGTATTTAATGTCCTTTGATGGACTTTACAAAGCATCAGTAAAGGGAAACACTAAAAAGTACTTTTAAAAACAATACCAGGAAATAATATAGAGGATGTTCAAAGTGTAACAACACCAATTCAGTCATATTTTTAGCTTTTTCTACAGCTAGTAATAATAAAAGCCAACATAGTAGCAGACATTTACCATTAATGATTACTAGAGCCTTTGGCATTGCCATATGAAGTTTAATTCCCCAAAGTTGTCAATTATAGCTTGGTAATATCCTCTTGGTGGGATATTGCTTGAAGATACAGAAGGCTTTTCTACCAGCTTCCTTCCTGCTTTATTACCCCTAATTCAAGGTTTGTTTTTTGTTTTTGTTTTTCATTTCCACTCAAAGTTCAGAAATCATGACTGCTAAAAAATTTGGAGAATACTATGTTAGTAACATAACAATCACTATTGCCTAAAAAAATTTTATAAGCTATTGTTTTATTGATAGACATGAACCTAGTCATATACAATCCTTGATTTCTAAGAATTTAAACAATTGAGTAAAAAGTGAATTCCAAAATACTTTTCATTTAAAAAAATAAGTAATGTCCCTACTATTTAACTTTGATATACATATTCTTGAAGTGGCATTAAAAGAACCACATCATGCTATCTCCTAGGGGAAAACAAATACTTAAGGTCAGATATTCAATGCATTACTCTTTCAGATAGTACCATTCCCTTCAATCTTTTCTTTAAAAGTGGAAAGGCCATCTCTGATCAGTAATTTTAAAGCCTGCCTGAATCCCTTTCAAAGATTTTATCTCAAAACCTAAAAGTATATTATTAATATTTTTCTGAAGGTTCCCTCCAAGATTTCAAACAATCAACCAGGATTTTAGAAACTAACATCCTGGGAATAAGTGTTAGACTTGAACTGGTCTAGCATATACCTGACGATGCACACAACTCTTCTTCTGGAGGTAGAGATAATCAAACAAAGGTTAGACTTTCAAAAAGCCTCCTTAACAAAGGCCTCAAGTAGATTACTTTTTTAAATACCTGTATTGGAAATGTAGAAGTCAATCATTCATTCAATCTACTGAATCTACTATTAGGATGCTGAAATACAATGTTAGGTACCACCATGCTAGGAACTGATGATACAAAATTAGTAAGACTTGATCGCTGTCTTAAGGGAAGCCTACGACACAAGTGAGGGAGAGAGAGGCACTTGAAAAAACTGGCATTTTCTTCATCCCTCCAAATCTCATGTTGAAATATAATCCCCAGTGTTGGAGGTGGACCCTGGTGGGAGGTGTATGGGTCATCAGGGTGGATCTCTCATGAACGGCATGAACGGCATGGTGCTGTCCTCAAGATAGTGAGTTCTACGGAGATCTGGTTTGTTTAAAAGGGTGTGACACTTTTCCTACTCTCTCTTGCTCCCACTCTCACCATGTGATGTGCTGGCTCCCCCTTCACCTTTCACCACGTTTATAAACTTCCTGAGGCCCTCACTAGAAGCAGGTGTTGGCACTATGCATCATATCTACCCTGCAGAACTGTGAGCCAACTAAACTAAACCTCTTTTCTCTATACTACTCAGTCTCAGGTATTCCTTTTTAAGTGATGCAAGAATGGACTAACCGTTGGTACGAAAAATAAACTACTCCAAAAGTACTCCACAATGAACCATTCCAAGATGGCTACAGGATCAACCCACTTAATATTTTTATAAGTTATCTAGAACAAGAAACAATACTGAAATCTTCTAATATGAAGATGATGAGAAATGTCAATACTAACAAAGATCAACAATTAGAAAAACTAGGGAGATATATATAAAGAAACAAAAATCTACAATGAAGGTAAGCATAATATAATAGATTTAATGGATAATAAAACTTTCAAATCATGATGATTAAGTTCTTAAAAATCCTCATGGTAGGAGAAATCTTTCTTTCTTTCTTTCTTTCTTTTTTGAGACGGAGTCTCGCTCTGTTGCCCAGGCTGGAGTGCAGTGGCACACTCTTGGCTCACTGCAACCTCTGCCTCCTCGGTTCAAGCGATTCTCCTGCCTCAGCCTCCAGAGTAGCTGGGACTACAGGCGTGCACCACCACGCCCGGCTAATTATTGTATTTTTAGTAGAGACGGGGTTTCACCATATTGGCCAGGCTGGTCTCGAACTCCTGAGCTCAAGTGATCCGCCCATATCGGCCTCCCAAAGTGCTGGGATTACAGGCATGAGCCACCACGCCTGGCCGAGAAATCTTAGATAAAGAACTCATAACCTAATCTTTTAATGAGATTGCAAAACAATCTATAATGGTTCACAAATGCTTTATATTCCCTAAAATGAAATGCGGGGAACAAAGAAGACACTGAATAGCTACCAATGGTATTTCTCTACCCTAAACTGGTAATAAGCTACACTCTTAAGTAGTATTAGAACTTAAGATGAAATAGGTAAATACATGGGGCTAAAATAAGAAGGAAAGGATGTAGTTAGTTACTGGGAAGGACCTGCCTCCTACCTTAGCTCATAGATATTTACACTTGCATAGTCATTTAAGTTTAATTCTAAAAGCTGCTTGAATATTTCTGACATTAGCATAAATGTGTCCTTAACCAGGAGGTCCATGGAGTTTTAGGACTTCTGTGAATCCTGTTAAAGAACATGCAAAATTATGCATGTAAATATATGAAATTTTACGTAAAGATGATCCATACTTCTCATCAGATTCACCCTTTGACATCACACTATACCTGATGTGACCCAAGAAAGGTTAAGAATCAACCAGCAACCAGATTTTCCTGCCATGATCCAAAAAAACTGGAATTTTCTCCATCCTTTGGATAAAGCATGGAATAGAAGCTGTGGACTTCTTTTGAAAGTCTCTTTACACTTCATTATTGGCTATAATTCATTCACACCTCATCTGAAGGTCCATTCTTAGACTTTGCTTAGACATTTTCTCAAAATAGGGACTTTAAAAACATCCATACCTATTAATTCCTATAAAAAGCTTTGATTTTTAAAAAGCATTTGAGGCAAAATGTTAGTTACCAGTTTTATAAATTAATAAAAATGCTCCGTGATACTACAGCTCTCTGGTGCCTGAGAGCTTTGCTTCCATAGTCAATATTCCTCAAGCTTGATTACAGGAGAGTCATTTTAAATCCTCTCTAGCAGGAAGAGTCTTTTCCTTTATATAACACTACTAGACATTTACCTGGGCAGTAATATCTCTAACAGCATAAACAATGTTTCTTTTTAATCTTTTCTTGCCCAATATCACAAAGGCTACAAATACCACATGGTAGTACACGTAGCACAATGATAAAATATAATACATTTTCATGATACTTAGTATATATGTGACCAATCACCTAAGAGGAAATTGGCAGAAGAACAAAAGTAGAAACAAGTGACTCAGATGTCCAGCAGAGGTTCTGAAAAACATATACAGTACAGAAGTAAATTTACATTAGATCTGAATTCCAAATAAGGCAAACTCATAAATGAGAAGGGATTATTACACTCATAAAATAAGAGAGCTCTGGAAAGAGATCTGGGAGTCATTATATACTGTTTCCTGAACAGTAACATGTCCAATGTGCTGTTACAGTCAGAAAGGCCAATGGTAATAGTGGCCATTAGCAGAGTGCATATCGGAAACAGAAAACAAAATACTACCTAAGTCTATTTTATATAAAACCATTTCTTAACAAGAGCCTGACAATCCATGTAAGGAAAATAAAATTTTTAGGAAGGTAAGGGCTGGGGGCCTCCCGTATGAAAGTGAACTATAAAACTTTTAAATCTACAGCCTGAAAATAATGCTGAAAGGTAACTGACTCAAAATGCACAGATTCCAAAGGCAAGAGGTAGTGACAGAGGGTGAACACAAATTATTTCACAAATAACAGAACCAGTGAAAACCCCAAAATCTCAAGTTTGGAGAAGAAATTAATTTATAGAGTAGAGGATGCTAATAGGTTATTTCGTAACTTCTTCTCACAATAATCCTGTGAGGAAAAAATTTACCATGTATTTCAACACAAATCTTTGGAAGAAAGATTAGAATGCAAAATGTCCTTCCCATATTTATTTTAAAAAGAAAAAAAATACTAATTGGATATTCAGGCCCAGCATGGTGGCTCAAGCCTGTAAATCCAAGCACTTTGGGAGGCCAAGGCGGGCAGATTACTTGAGACCAGTTCAAGACCAGCCTGGCCAACATGGGGAAACCATCATCTCTACTAAAAATACAGAAATTAGCTGGGCGTGGTGGCACACGCCTGTCATCTCAGCTACTCGGGAGGCTGAGGAAAGAGAATCACTTGAGCCTGGGAGGCGGAGGTTGCAGTAAGCCGAGATCATGCTACTGCACTCCAGCCTGGGCGAAAGAGCGAGGCTCCATCTCAAAAAAAAAAAAAAAGACTAATGGGATTCAGTAAAAAGCATCATTAGCTATTAATTTCACGTCTCTGTGAATGCAGTTTATTCTAAGTATTAAACACACACAAGAAGTTACTGAAGTTCACCACCATCAGGAACATACAATTTAATATGCAGTTTCGTATGGTACTATCTGCACTTCCTGATGTAGTTGTAGGCTTGCAGCACCCACAAGATAAACATGCTTATTAAAATAAAATTTTTTTTTTTCCAGACTAAGTCTTGCTCTGTTGCCCGGACTGGAGTGCAGTGGCGCGATCTCAGCTCACTGCAACCTCCACCGCCCAGGTTCAAGTGATTCTCCTGCCCTGCCTTAGCCTCCTGAGTAGCTGGGATTACAGGCACCCGTCACCAGGCCCAGCTAATTTTTGTATTTTTAGTAGAGACAGGGTTTCACCATGTTGGCCAGGCTGGTCTCGAACTCCTGACATCAGATGATCCACCTGCCTGAGCCTCCCAAAGTGCTGGGATTACAGGTGTGAGCTACCGTGTCCGGCCAAAATAAAATATTCATTCTCAAAAAATTATAGTAAGTACTAGAAGAAAATGTCATCAAATATTAAGCAGTGTTTTTAGAAAACAGAACAAATATGATGATCTTTTAAGAAACAGATTTATAAATACTCTAGACCCTTCCTCACCAAACAATGAGTGAAACATAGACTAAACAAAATGAAAGTAAAGAGAATAATTAAGGAATTATTTACTTAAAATCAACCCCACCATAAAACACACAACAGTTTACCTACTTTTAAACTACTTAAATATTTTAAGTAATCATTATTAATTTTTTGGCAAGATTCTACAATTCTGCAATTTCACAGGAATGACTTGGGGAAAATAATTTTAACTTAATGAATTATCCTTTTCCTCCTGAATACATCATGGAATATAGGAAACATTATTTTCTATAGTTTGTTATAACACAATGATGGAAAAGAATAAGTAAACAAAGATATAGAGAAAAAATAAAAAGGAAATCTTATGACAATAAGTTCATTTAAAGCAGGGACTGCATTTAAGTGTTTGCCACATTCAAGGAGCCACCCAATAAAACTGCTTAGTAGTTAGTTAAATCTAATAGTAGTGCTTATGTCAAGCCACCTTGGTAAACTCTGGGCTGGGCCCTGCCCAGGAAACAAAGCACACCCCACATAGAATTCTCTCAATCTTTCCGTCACGCTGCATAAATGAGGCACAAGAAATAGCAAGAAATTTGGTACTGCCAAAACAAAATCACCTCAACCAAAAGCACATATGAAAGTCTCCAACTTGATACTGTGCTAAATATTGCATAAAGAAGTGCAGTCACTGTCTGGTTATCTATACCAGTGAAGAGGAGCCATGGAAATTGAACATGGACAGATCATCCACTCAGCTGATTTGAGGTCATAGCCCCTCTCTGCACAACATGGAAACTTAGCTGAAAAACAGAAAAGTAGCTCTAACTTAGCTAAGCAACAAAGGGTACATTCAGTCAATTCAGGAGCCCCCAACTAGAGGTCCCCACAATGTGGTTGCCATCCCAGGTGGAAATCTGGTCCCTAATTGTATCTGGGCAACAAAGGGCTCCAATGTGAGTCAAGATGTGAAACACTAAAATGGCACTGCAGTTAAAAACCTGAGAAAAAACGTCTATGAAAAAATCATCTAGGGCTGGGCACAGTGGCTCAAGCCTGTAATCAGCATTTTGGGAGGCTGAGGCGGGCAGATCACGAGGTCAGATCAGGAGGTCAGGAATTCGAGACCAGTCTGGCCAACATGGCGAAACCCTGTCTCTACTAAAAATACGAAAATTAGCCAGGCATGGTGGTGGGCGCCTGTAATCCCAGCTACTCGGGAGGCTGAGGCAGGAGAATCGCTTCAACCCAGGAGGCGGAGGTCGCAGTGAGCTGAGATGGTGCCACTGCACTCCAGCCTGGGCGACAGGTGCAAGACTCCATCTCAAAAAAAAAAAAAAAGAAAAAGAAAAAGTCACCTATTTTGTCACTAGACAATAGAGTTCTTCTGCCAACTAAGAACTTCAGTATTCTGAATCTACTAATTTTTGGAAATAAGGTCAACTAATTAATTTTTACAATATTCCTTTTAGATCTAAACAATGAATTTTGACTTT
The DNA here is from genome assembly GCF_000001405.40 of Homo sapiens. Taxonomy (NCBI): domain Eukaryota; kingdom Metazoa; phylum Chordata; class Mammalia; order Primates; family Hominidae; genus Homo; species Homo sapiens. Next base: position 158,137,500 of record NC_000003.12, on the reverse strand, counting down.
AAAGCCTTAAAACTGATTTAAAATACCTAAAAACTGCAAGGGCATCATCTTAAAGCAAAATAGCAAAATAATAGTGTTATTATATATATATATATATTTAATTGGGTCAGTATTATATATCTCCATAAAACCTTTTATTCAATATTAATCACTGAATCTTTTATTCAAAAATTTAGTGATTTCTAAATAATACTTAACAGTTCACTTTTTGCCATATTCAGATTACACATTACATTAAAATCCTAATTAAAGCAACTTGACTGAGAAATAGAAAGTGAGGTGAGGGGAGAATACCCAATTTTTTAAATGAGCTTATTAATTCAATAGGTTTAATAATCAAAAATCCATCTGTTTTGCATGTCAGTGTAAAAGTGCTGCTCATTCCAGTTGAGGAAATAATGAAAATAAATAGTGACCTGAATAAAAATTAACTGCATACATGGTTAGACTCATGGTCTGGGCTTCTTTATTTTGGATAAATTTTATTAAAATGGACTACCTCAGGTAAATGAAAGAACGATAGAAACACACATTTATTTAACAGTGTCCTTACAAGAACAGAGCAGATTTTTAGAACTTGAATTGATAACCTCTTGTACTTATATGTGTGACCCATCTTACACTCAACTTATTATCCTCAAGCAAACGGCTCACTTTCAGACTATCTGTCCAAGAACAATGTTGCCCAGTTTTGCTCGTCCACAATTTTCTCGTTTTCTCTATTGCTCCTGCATGATCTCCACACCCATTGAAAAACTGGAGGGGGAAAGGAAAAAAAAGAAAAAACACTCTGCAAAAAGAAAACCATAAAGTCACCACACACTGAACAGAACCATTTCTGCCACCATTACTTGCTTACCTTATCTTCCCTAGTCTTAGCTCCCTCACCTAAAAGAAATAGTATAAAATAACCTTTTAGCCCTAAAAATTCTGTACCTCTATAAGACCTCACAGCCACCTCTGAAAGCTATTAATCAGATAAACAAAAACTCACATACAAAAAGCATTTTCATTACAAATATACAACAGAATAAGAATTTAGCTCAGTGCAAACTAGAGCTCTGTAGGGGAGCAAGTAGAAGTTTACCAAGCAAGCAATAGCATCAATGTAATTGTTCAGTTCCTTTTAGCGGATTTAATTATAACTATTTTAGAGCATGGTAACATGGCAAAATAATAGGTACATCTAATTAGTTTTTTAAAAAACTTAAAAATGATATTTTAAAATAATTTAAATAATATACATTATGAAACTTATTTTCATGTAATTTCGAATCAAATTAGAACTAGAATGAGCATAATACTTTATACATGAAGATACTGAGACTCAGGCTGATTCAGAGCTCTTTCCATGCTATCTCTTGTCTGTAATGCCACCTTCTATAATTTCAAATTAGTTTCTACATGGTAGAAATGCAAATTAAGTAAGGAGTGATTATGATCAAGCTTACAGCTCAATCTATACGTTGAAAATGAGTAAGACTGCATGCATATCCATGTTTCCTTGACAAAGTGGGCTCTGCTTTACCATGCTTGCTAAAATTCTGCCTAAGGAAATCCCAGCCTAAGGAAATGTCTTTAAGTAAAGACCTAAAAGATTAATTACAGATCATGGGTGGGAGAAAAGTACATTTTGAGCAGAGGCAACCACCACATGTTCAAGGGTCCTTAGACAGGAAAAGAAAACTGTTTAAACACTACAAGTATGACTAGCATTGGAAAGATGTGATTGAAAAGGCAGGAAGGAGTCAGATCACAAAGGGACTTAAAGCCTTGTCAACATTTTGGGTTTTATTCTAAACCACTGAAATAAAGGAGGTCCTATCAGATTTGCATTTTGCATTGCATTTTGGCTACCATGTGAAGAAAAAAATTGGAGGGAAAACTCCAGAAAAAAAAAACATTAAAAATTTACACTATAGGCCGGGCGCAGTGGCTCATGCCTATAATCCCAGCACTTTGGGAGGCCTAGGCGTGTAGATCACTTGAGGTCAGGAGTTTGAGACCAGCCTGGCCAACATGGTAAAACCCTGTCTCTACTAAAAATTCAAAAAAAAAAAAAAAATAGCTGGGTGTGGTGGTGCATGCCTGTAATCCCAGCTACTCGGGAGGCTGAGGCAGGAGAATCACTTGAACCCAGGAGATGAAGGTTGTAGTGAGCCGAGGTTGCGCCACTGCACTCTAGCCTAGGTGACAGAGCGAGATTCTGTCTCAAAAAAAAAAAAAAATTACACTATAATTTGGAAATGACTACTTCTCTTCTGCTAATATCCAAAACACATTCTGAGCCTCACAAAACAACATGTGGCAGTAAACAGCACAGTTAAGAACTTACACTAAGTTCAAATATTATGTTATTAGCTGGTACGGTATTTTGGTTCATCAAATATTGAGATGATAAGCCAAAAATAACAACTTTTATGTAATTAAATTAGTTTTAAGGAATTTAGGGGTATTATGCACATTTACCAGAATCTTTATAAAAAGCTAGAAAAAAATTATCAATAAATTAATCACCACTGATGTAAGTCACCTGGGTAAATATTTCACAGTGCCTCATTTCAAATGTTTTACACACTTAACAAAAATTGTGCTATAGTGTTAAGTACTTAAGATGACAAGACAGTACATAAAAATCAAATATTATGGTTACAATTAACGTGACAACTCCACATCTCTTTGTCTCTCATAGACTATATAATTAAAAGTTAATTGAATACCTTTCCAAAGAACCTCTTTTTCTGCCAGTGTTAGATATAGAACTCTTAGAGTGAAAGCAAAAGAAAGTTCTTCCTAGTTACACATTGCCAAGGACAAAAGTCAGACTAATCAAAAGATTCCCACCAAGAACTCCGTGACATCAACTAACATTTCACTGATAATTCCGCAAAAGAATATTCAGTATATAACAGCCTTGATCTTTGTGAAATGGCTCATCTGTCAGGCATCTTTCATTTGCTATTCAAAATGACTAATCTAAAGGATGCTGCAAACTATGCAATGCAGATTTTCACTTCAAGTTAACAATGCAATTTTCTAAGTCAAAACCAACTGATAGTAAAATACTATTTACACAACAAGTTTAATCTCTGAATACTATTATTCTATAAAAGCATGTTGTAAAGGTAGATGATCTTTGAAATAATCTAAAAGAAAAAAATTTTTAATTTACTAGTTAGGATGCTTATAAATACACGGTATAATAATTAGCTAGGAAAAAATGAAGCTAAAACTACTGTAAAGAATAAATAATCATTAAAGAGTCTTCAGTCATAGGTTAAAATATTCTTCTCACACAAATATTTACATAATTTCATCCCTACCATCCTAGTAAAGTATTATGCTCTAATAAGAACTATCCTAATCTTCACTCAGCAATATTTTCAGGCTGATATTATTATTCTCATTTCCTTGAATAATATCCATACTCCAGGGCCATTTTCTTTCTCATATTCAATATCATGCATGCTTGTATCAAGGTTCCTTTCTTCATATCCTGTCACAGTATCAATCACTGCCTCCTGTCCACTCAATCCACTTTTGATTTATCAGCCGCCGTCTTTCTGGACTCCATAACTCGACCCAAACCATTTTAACAAGACATTGACAAATAGCACCCAGAATCACTTCAACCTGTTCCACTTAGTAAACTAAGAAACAGTAACTGTGACATCTCTGCATAAGTATTCCATTCTATTCCCCAGACTGATGTATATTAATGAGAAGATGGTATTTGAAATGCTTCTTCCACATCAGCATCTAATATGATCAAATTAGGAAATGGGATGATTTATTAAATTTTGTAGAGCTGAAATATTTCTTTATATCGCCATATGTGTGGTTTCAGAAAGTGAGCTGTTGCTTTCAATTTTTCTACTGAAGATATGCCTGCATTTCACAGACGAATTATTGTCTTTAAAAAGATTGCAAGAAGGCAAAATGTTATTAAGCAAATGCTCAGTAAAACAAACTAAATTGGTTTTAAAATTCCTAATTTAATGTAAATCTTGGTTGTTTCACTGAAATTCAGTTTGTGATCTTATTTAGTCATATTTGCATCGTACTGTCTTGCTGTAGGACAGTTTTAAATTTATAGCATTACCAAGCAGCTTCACTTCTTGACTTTTAAGATATGTCCTCAATAAAATAAATAATTGCTCTCTAAGCACATATTTTGTTCTCATTTTCAGATACAAGACAAAATAAAGATCAATAGGTTAATAAAAGAATAAAATAAAAATAGAAAATCAACTGGATCATTTCTATAATTTTCATAATTAGATATTAAAATGTTTTCATTAAAGTGATCCCCAATTTAAAATTCAATAACTGTTTCATGCATAGTTTAAACTTTAAACAATAAATTAGTTTTTCATATTACATTTGGATATGAAAGGGACATTCAATACATTCACAATAAAAATAAAATGAGTTAGAATAAATGTAACATTCATATTTTCCTTAAAGAAATTCTCTTCTTACTTCATCTTCTAGTTTCCAGATATCCGTTTATTCCAGAAGTCGAACTCTACACTCATCTCAAAACTAGAGGATTTCCAAGAACAAAACTACATTTAAGTCTATTTCTAGGCTGATCCCAACGTACTGGGCATACTTAATCATTTTCTAATAGAGTTGCCAAAGATTTATTCCTGTTCATGGACAAATTGAAGGATTACAAATAAATGAATTCTGAAGGGGATCTGACTTTGTTCATTGATTAGAAAACAGCTGTAAAATTTAATAGTGCAATACAATGAGGGTAATATTTGAGAAAAGGAAAAACTACAAAAACAAGGAAAGGATAGCTCATCCAGTATAAAATTAATTGTGATTCTCAGACATTTACTACTTAGATGTTATGTGAATAGGGATCATGTGGTCACTGTCACATGAATGGAATAGCAATCTTGCAATTTTAAAGAGACTAACCTAATTTTTAAGTTCAAAAAACTCAGCATTTTTCAAGTTGAAGAAATAACATAAAGAGTACTACAATGTTAAAATGTAGTCCAATCTTTCTACCCAATAATCGAGAAAAGGGTACCAGAAAAATATCATCAGACACGCTGTCCTTTGTTCCTCAGATAAAAGCATGGAGAAATGATAATTAAGCCTTTTTTAAAAGTCTGTTAAACTACTAAAATATGATAAATTAGAAGTAAATTCACAAGTATGTTCTAGTATGTAATACAAAGAAATAATAATTTAAATGATCTGGGTAGGGTGGCACATACCTGTAATCCCTGCACTTAGTGAGGCCAAGGCAGGGGGATCGCTTGAGCTCAGGAATTTGAGACCAGCCTGGGCAACATGGTGAAACCCCATCTCCGCCAAAAATACAAAAATCATAGTTGGGTGTGGCGGTGTGTACCTGTAGTCCCAGCTACCCAGGAGGTTGAGGTAGGAGGATACCTTGAGTGAAGGAGGTAAAGGCTACAGTGAGCCAAGATTGCACCACTGCACTCCAGCCCAGGTGACAGAGCAACACTCTGTCTCAAATGAATAAATAAAATATAATAAAATGACTTCTAAAGAAAACAATAGCATTTATGCTGGCCTTTACAGTGTGCAACGTACGTTCAGTATATTATTTTACTAGATAAATGCATTTTCTAAAATTATATTACTTTTTCAAATTAATAAATATTTGTTACTTGTTCTAATACATTATTAACAAAAATTTTCCTAATTTTCTCTAATATACAATAATTGATCTCTTCCCTAACACCCTTTACACTTGTAGTCTACAGGTGTACAGTTTCAAGAAATCATGAGGCAACAATTACCTCATGTCACATTCACAAAATGTCTTCAATTTGACATCTTGAATCAAAAGCAAAGTATACCACTATGAAAGAAAAAATATTCATGCAAAAGAACCCGGAGAGTGAACAGCAACAGGAAATATTTTGGGAGTACCAAGTTCATGAGTACATCTGTCACTTCAAATCCCTCAATGCTACCCACACACAATGGGTGTTTTGGGTATGGTACAAAATGAACATATCCACATTATTTCAATTCCACATTAGGCAATAAAACAAAAATCACGCTGACCATGGGGTCTTCAGTACATAGAAATGACTAACAAAGTCAGACAAAAAAATCAAGAGATAAGTGACAACCAAAAAAAGACGAAAATGTATTCAAAAATAAACCATAATCATCCCACTAGATAAAGAAAAAGCTTTTAACAAAAACCAGCAGTGATTGGTACTAACAAATTCCCAGCAAATAAGAAATATGGTGGTGTTCTTCTTCAGTCTTATAAAAGGCAACCACAAGAAACTTAGTTAATATATATTTAAAAGCACATGTACCCTAGAACTTAAAGTATAATAAAAATATATATATAAACAAAAAATTATTAAAGACAAAAATAAAAAAATTTAAAAAATTAACGCCAAAGACTGAATACTTTCCTCCTAAGATAGGAAAAAAGGCAAGTTTGCCCACGTTCATCACTTTTCTTCAGCATAGAAGTAGATCCTAGACACTGCAATGAGCCGAGAAAACTACAGAAATAGCAAACAATTCTAAAAAGATGTAAAACTCAGTTTTCAGGTAATTAATTGTTTTCATGGAAAATCTTAAGCTATCTTCAGAATATCTGCTAGAGCTAATAAGAGTGGAAAGGTTACAGGATACAAACTAAACATACAAAAATATGTAAAATATAAAAGGTACAAAACATATACAACATGTACAAAATTACTTATATTTCTACATACACTAATCCAAAAATCCAAAATACTCCAAACTCTGAAACTTTCTGAGTGCCAGAATGATGCCACAAGTGGAAAATCCCATATCTGAGACCTTTGCTTTCTGATGGTTTAATATACACAAACTTTGTTTCATACACAAAATAATTTAAAATACTACTTAAAATTATTCAGGCTACATGTATAAGGTATACATGAAACATAAATTTTGTGTTTAGACTTGGGTGTTATCCCCAAGATATCTCATTATGTATATGTAAATATTACAAAATCTGAAAAAATCCAAAATCCAAAACACTTTAGGTCCCAAGTATTTCAGATAAGGAATATTCAACCTGTACTCAACAAATAAATGGAAAATAAAATGTTAAAATAATTCCATTTTCAATAGTGTCAAAAAGTGTGGAAATAAATTTAACAAAATATGTATGCTATAGACTGAATGTTTGTGTCCTCAAAAATTCATATGCTGAAACCCTAATGACCAATGTGATAGTATCTGAAGATGGGTCTGGTGGGAGGTAATTAGGTCATGAGAGTGGAGCCCTCATGACAGGATTCATGGCCTTCTAAGAAGAGACAAGAGAGAATTTGCTTCCTCTCTATGATCTCCAAAATGTAACATGGGACACAAGAAGAAGACAGCCATCTGTCAACCTAAAAGAGGGCCCTCACCAGAACTAGACCATGCTGTCACCCTGATCTCTAACCTCCCAGGCACCAGAACTGTAAGAAATGTATTTATGTTGTTTAAGTCACACAGTATCTTGTCACAGCTGCCCTAACTGTGTAAAACCACTATAATGAAAACTACATAACATTGTTTGGAGAAACTAAAGAAAAGCAAAATAAATGGAGAGATACAACATGTTCATAAAATAAAACATTCTATGATGTCAATACTCCTATTCTACTGATTCAATAAACATCCAATCAAAGTCCCAGCAAGCTTTTGACAAAATTGTCAAGTTGATTCTAAAATTTATATGAAAATGTAAACAATAACACCTAACTTTAAGACTTACTATAGAACCAAAGTAATCAAAATTGTCTAAGACTAGTATAAAAACAGACAAAGGAATGGAACCAAATAAACAATCCAGAAATAGAGTCACATTCGTATAGTTAGCTGGTTTTCGACAGAGGTACCAAGACTACTCAGTAAGAAAATAGGGCTAGACTGGCCAGGCGCGGTGGCTTATGCTTGTAATCCCAGCACTCTGGGAGGCCAAGGCGGGCGGATCACTTGAGGTCAGGAGTTCAAGACCAGCCTGGCCAACATGGTGAAACCCCATCTCTCCAAAAATTACAAAAATTAGCTGGACGTGGTGGTGGGCACCTGTAATCCCAGCTACCCGGGAGGCTGAGGCACGAGAATCACTTGAACCCAGGAGGCAGAGGTTGCAGTGAGATGAGAATTGCGTCACTATACTCTAGTCTCGGCAATAGAGACTCAGTCTCAAAAAAAAAAAAAAAAAAAAAAAGAAAGAAAGAAATGTTCCTAGATCTCCGTATGAAGAAAATAATTGAACCTAACCCCCTATCTCATATGATACACAAAAATTAATTTGAATCATCAGGCAAACCCCAAAGTAACTGCTACAGAAAAAAACCACTGAGAGATGCTAAAGTTAGTAAGTGAAAGGTTGAGGAGATGCGCAGAATACTTATAGTTAGAAAATATCTCTCCCAAGATATCTATCAACTACAAAAGGAAAGATAGTAACTTCACAGGCGAAACCTGGCACCTTAACTACACGATCAAGGTTAACACCACTATGACATAGCAGTATCACAGACCCCTTGATATGATGCAATAAAAAGTACACAATGTCATTTCTCTCGTATTCTTGCCAAAAATGCATAGCTCACTCTAATCACGAGAAAACATCACACAAACTCAGGCTGAGGGGCAATCTACAAAATAAACACCATTATTCCTCAAAAGTGCCAAAGTCATGAAAGACAAGCACAGACTCATCTTTGGATGAGGAACTCTCGTAGACTGGAGGAGACTAAGAAGAGATTAACAACTAAATGCAATATAGAATCCTGGATTGGATCCTGGAGCAGAAAAAGAACGTTATGAGAAAACTGATAAGATTTATAATCTAGTTACTAGAACTGTATCAATGTTAATGTCCTGCTTTCGATTACTGTACCAGGTGAGGTGATATGAGGGGTATAAGGAAATTCTGTATTATTTTTTACAGCTTTTCTGTTAGTCTAAAATTAGTTTAAAATAAAGGTTAGAAAGAGCCTGTAAGAAACAAAAAAAGTTAACTTGAGAATGATGATGGCAAGATGGCAGTATAGGAAATCCCAGCCCTCATTCCCCCAAGAAAGACACTGATAAAACAATATACAAACCAAAATACCTATATGGAACTTCAAAAAACAGTTAAGAAGTTGCAGTACTCCGGGCAAGCGCAAAGCCAAGTACAACCTCACTGAAATAATTAAGAACCATTTTACTTTACCTGTCCCTAAGGCCAGCAAATCTCCATTCAGCTCATGGCTTTTAGGGTAACGGACTGGGGAAAAGAGAAGCATGGAATGTAAGTCCAACATTCTGACTTTTCTGAGGGCCACCCAAGGGATGGGTTTCTGTCTTGCCTGGAGCACTAATGGAAACAGCACAGGTTAGATTTCTGGGTGCCAACAAAAGCAAAAGAGAACAGAAACAGATTGCTATGGCACCAGAGGGCCAGCAGTACCAAAGACAGAGACTGGGATGACTCAGCACCATTGAGAAAAGACATCCAACTTGTTTCTTCGTCAGAAGTGAGAGAGAAGAGTGAAGTACATGCTTCAAATATTCCAGCATTTTGGAGAGGTGCCAGAGGGAATGATATCTCTCACCTGCTAAATGGTGCTGATGAGGAAGCTGGCATATATTGAAAAAAGCTGGTTGGTGAAGGACTTTCCCCATAAGAAGCCAGTCCATAAAGACTAGGAAAGGCAGCTGTTTTTTAAAATTGCATAAAAACTCAGCCAAAAAAAAAAAAAAAAAAAACCACAAAGCAGTCAAAGAAAGAAGGAAACCTAGCCCAATCAAAGGAACCAAATAAATTGCCAGAAACCACCTCAAAGAAACTGAGATCTGTAAATTACCTGACAAAGAAATAAAAACAGTTGTCTTAAAGCTCAATGATCCAAAAAAGAACACAGATGCACAACTAAATGAAGTCAAGAGAACAAAGTATAAACAAAATCAAGACTATCAACAAAGAGAAATTACATAAAAAAAAAGCAAAAATGCTAATGCCAAAGAATACAATAGCTGAATTGAAAAATTCACTAGAGAGGTTCAGTAGCAAACGCAGTCAAGCAGAAGAATAAAATCAGAAAACACAAAGAAAGGTCAATTCAAAATTATTGAGTCAGGGAAGCAAACAAGAAAAAGAATAAAGAAAAGTGAAGGAAGCCTAAGGGACTATAAGACATCATTAAACAGACCAATATACGTATTATGGAGTTATAGAAGAAGATAGAGAAAGAAACAGAGAGTTTACTGTGGAGTTAAGAAGAAGAAACAGAAATGAACAGAGAGCTTATTTGAAGACATAATGGCTAAAAAATTCCCAAATCTGAGAAAACAAATAGGCACCCAAATTTAAGAAGTTCAAAAGACTTCATCCTTTCACTTCAAGAGTGAAGTAAAAGAGGCCCACATAGACACATTATAATCTAATTAACAAAAGTTAAAGGCAAAGAGAGAATCTTGAAAGCAGCAAGAGAAAAGTAAATCGTCATACACAAGGGAGCTTTCATAAGATTTCAGCAATTTTGCAGAGGAAACATTACAAGCCAGAAAGGAATCAGGTGATATATTCAAAGTGCTGAAAGCAAAAAACAAAAACAAAAACAAAAACAAAAACAAAAACAAAAACAAAAAAAACCCTGTCAATCAAGAACACTATATCAAGCAAAATTGTTCTACAAGAACAAAAGACAAATCAAATCTTTCCCAGATAAACAAAAGCTAAGGGAGTTCTTCACTACCAGACCTGCCTTACAAGAAATACTAAGAGGAGTCCTGCAAGTGGAAATGAAATGACACTAGACAGCAACACAAAAGTACATGAAAACATAAAGCTCACTGGTAAAGGTAAATATATACACAAGTACAGAGTACACTAACACTGTAATGGTGGTATGTAAAACATTTTTAATTCAGATATAGAATTGAAAAGATGACAGTATAAAAAATAACTAACTATAAGCTATATTAATGGATACAATAAGATGTAAACTGTGATATCAATAACATAAAATAGAAGTGGAGAAACATACAAGAGCAGTATTTTTGTATAAAGTCAAAGGTTATTACCAACTTAAAAGACAATGTTTTGTGTAAGCCTCATGGCAACCACAAAGAAAATACCTATAGAACATATACAAAATAAAATCAGAAAAAAAATCATAGCATGTCAATACAAAAATCAACAAAACAAAAAGGAAGGCAGCAGGAGACATGAGAGACAAAATAGCTATAAGGCAGAAAACAATCAACAAAATGGCAACAGTAAGTCCTTCCCCATCAGTAATTATTGTAAATGTAACTGGATTAAACTCCCCAAACAAAACACACAAAAGTAGCTGAATGAATTTTTCAAAACACACACTCATACACACAAAATACAATTACAGTATATGCTGTTTACAAAAGATGTGCCTTAGATGTAAAGACACACATATACTGAAAAAGATGAAAAAGATAATCCATACAAATGGTACAAAAAAAGAGCAGAAGTGGCCATACTTACACAAGACAAAATAGACTTTAAGTCAAAGACTGTCACAAGAAAAAAAGAAAATTATATAATGATAAATGGGTCATTATTCTGGAATATATAACAATTATATATATATGCACCTAACACCAGAGCACTCAAATATATAAAGTAAACATTGCCAGAATGGAAGGGAGAAGTATTTAGTAACATAGTAATAGTAGGGTATTTCAATAATCCACTTTCAATAATGGACAGAAAAATAAGACATAAGAGGACCTGAACAACACTACAGATGAATTAGACCTAACATAAATACACAGAACACTCCACACAACAGCAGCAAAATATGCATTCTTCTCAAGTGTACATGGAACATTCTCCACGACAGATTTCATGTTAGGCCACAAAACAAGTCTTAACAAATTTAATAAGACCGAAATCATAGCAAGTATCTTTTCGAAACACAAAGAAATGAAACTAGACATCAATAGCAGTAGAAAAATCAGAAAATCCACAAATATGTAGAAATTAAACTACACACTCTTGAACAACCAAATACACCAAAGAAGAAATCATAAGAGAAATTAGAAAATACCTTTAAACAAATGAAAACACAAACACACATAGTAAAACTTAAGAGAAACAGCAAAAGCAATACTGAAAGGAAAGTTTTAGCATGAACACCTACATTTAAGAAAAAAAGAAAAGTCTCATATCATACTTAATACTTCAAGGAACTAAATAAAGAACAAATTAAACCAAAAATTATCCAAAGAAAGAAAATAAAAATGATTAGAGAAAAAAATAAATAAAATAGAGAACAGAAAGACTTTAGAAAAAAATCAACAAAACTAAGAGTTTTTTGAAAAACAACAACAAAATTAACAAGTACTTAGTTAGATTAAGAAAAAATGAGGCCGGGCAAGGTAGATCATACCTATAATGCCAGCACTTTGGAAGGATAAGGTGGGAGGACCAGTTGACACCAGGAGTTGGAGACTAGCCTGGGCAATATGGTAAGACTGATTTCTACAAAACATATTTTAAAAAGTCAGCCAGGCCTGGTGGTGTATGCTTGTATTTCTAGCCACTTAGGAGACTGAGGTGAGAAGATCATTGAGCCCAGGAGTTTGAGGCTGCAGTGAGCTGACTGCACCAATACACCCAAGCCTAGGTGACAGAGCAACACCTCACCTCCAAAAAAAAAAAAAAAGAAAGAAAGAAAAAGAAAAAATACCAGAAGCGTAATAACTAAAATCAGAAATGAAACAGCAGACATTACAGTTGATGCCACAAACATTGAAAGGATTATAAAAGACTACTAAGAATGCTAATAAACTGGATAACCTAGAAAAAGTGGATAAATTCCTAGAAACATACCACCTACCAAGACTGAATCATGAAGGAAGAGAAAATCTTAACAGACGTATAACTAACAAGGAGATTGAATCAGTAAGCAAAAACCTTCTAACAAAGAAAAGCCCAGGAGCAGATAGCTTCACTGCAGAATTCCACCAAACATTTAAAAAGAAATTAATGTCAATCCTTTTCAAAATCTTCCAAAAAAACTGAAAAGGAGGGAGTACTTCCAAACTCATTTTATCAGGCCAGCATTACTCTGATACCAATGCCAGACAAATATATTACAAGAAAACTGCAAGCCATAAGTCCCTGATGAATACTGACGCAAAAATCCTTAACAAAATACTAGTAAACTCATGTCTGGGGAACGCACGTGCTACCACCACCGGGCTGAAAAAAAGAAACCCAATCTAGCCTACTGGACAATGAGAAGCCACGTACACCCCGGCCAATAGCCAGAACCAAATGCAAGATATATGAGTGAGGCCACATTAGACCATCCAGTTCCAATCAAGCTATCAGATGACTAACTGCATGAATGACCCCAGGTGAGAAAAAAATAAGTGCCAGCTAAGCTCAATCAAAATTATATAATTATAAGAAAATAAATGATTGTTGCTTTACATCGCTGAATTTGGGAATAATTTGTTACAAAGCAATAAATACTTAATAAGGCATACCTTCTTGTTCTGCTTTTTGACCTAGACCTCTGAACTCTATAGGATTTCCCTCGACCCCTTGAACGACTTCGACTTCGTTTCCTTCTGGAGCCATAAGAAGAGCTACTGCTTGATCGATGCCTGCGTCTGAAATAAAATATAATCAAAGATCACTGCTATAAAAATTTTTATTATGAGCATTAAGGAAAAACCTTCTAGATTCTAAAGAATCATCTGATTTTTACTGTCTCACTGTTTCCTGGAAGCAAACAGAGATAAATTAAAATGTTATTTCTCTTGAACAGTCATATGACTGGTTCATAACTTAGTGATTGGATCAGTACTAATTAAGGTATTAAGGGTCTTAGAATCTTTCCAAATATCATCAGATTATATGGTATGAAAACTAAACCAAGGCCAGGCTCAGTAGCTCATGCCTGTAATCCCAACATGTTGGGAGGCCGAGGCAGGAGGATCGCTTGAGGCCAAGAATTCGATACCAGCTTGGGCAACACAGCAAGGCCAAGTCTCCACAAAAAATAAAAATAAAAAAACTTAGCTAGGCATGGTGGCACATGCCTCTAGTACTAGCTATTCAGGAAGCTGAGGTGGGAGGATCCCTTGAGTCCAAAAGATATGACTGCACCGCTGCACTCCCGCCTGAGTGACAGAGCAAGATCTTGTCTCTAAAAAAATTTAAAATTAAGGCCAGGCACGGTGGCTCACGCCTGTAATCCCAACATTTTGGGAGGCTGAGGAGGGCAGATCACCTGAGGTCAGGAGTTCAAGACCAGCCTGACCAACATGGTGAAACCCTGTCTCTACTAAAAATACAAAACTAGCTGGGCATAGTGGTGCATGCCTGGAATCCCGGCTACTTGGAAGGCTGAGAAGAACTGCTTGAACCTGGGAGGCAGAGGCTGCAGTGAGCTGAGATCACGCCATTGTACTCCAGCCTGGACAACAAGAGCAAAACTCCGTTGCAGCACTGTTCACAATAGCAAAGGCTTGGAACCAACTCAAATGTCCATCAATGACAGACTGGATTAAGAAAATGTGGCACATATACACCATGGAATACTACGCAGCCATAAAAAAGGATGAGTTCACATCCTTTGTAGGCACATAGATGAAGCTGGAAACCATCATTCTCAGCAAACTATCGCAAGGACAAAAAACCAAACACCGCATGTTCTCATTCATAGGTGGGAATTGAACAATGAGAACTCTTGGACACAGGAAGGGGAACATCACACACTGGGGCCTGTCATGGGGTGGGGGGCTAGGGGAGGGATAGCATTAGGAGATACACCTAATGTAAATGACGAGTTAACAGATGCAGCACACCAACATGGCACATGTATACATATGTAACAAACCTGCATGTTGTGTACTAGAACTTAAAGTATAATAAAATAAAAAATAATTCATTAGAAAAATAAATAAATAAATGCACTAGAAAAAAAATTAAATTAAATTAAAAAAGGAAACTACACCACTTTCTATCTATTTGCCTACTAAGAACAGACAAAGGTTGAGGACACTAGACCCACGGACTGGACCTGGTGGAACAAAAAAACTCTGGGTTGGGACTTTCATAAATATATAGCTAGTAAAAGAAAAATGTTTTATCTAGCAAAATTAAAAATACAAAAACATGAATTTTAAAGAATGTTATCCTCATTACTATATAAATAAAAATTACAAAAATCACCTTCTATCATAAGAATGTGAACGAGGCTGAAGATCTCTGGACCAAGATCTTGACTTTGATCTTGATTTCCTTCCTCCTTTCTTTCGGCTGTATGTTCTACTATCTGAAGAACTGCTCGAGGAGGACCGTCTACGGTGTTTCTTTTTTCTCTTGCTTCTGCTTTCTTCTTCAGTATCTGATGACCGACGTCCCATTTCTATAAGCATAAATTTGAAGAATATTATTTCTAACATGGTGGCACAATGGATGAAATGCAATATATTAATTTTTTATTTCATTTATTTATTTATTTTAGAGATGGGGTCTCCCTCTGTATCCCAGGCTGGAGTGTAGTGGTACAATCATTGCTCACTGCAACCTGGAAGTCCTGGGCTCCAGCGATCCTTCCCCCAAGCCTTCCAAAGTGCTGGGACTACAGGCATGAGCCACCATTTCTGGCCTCAATGTACTACTTTTTATAAAACTTTGTAAAATTTTTAAAAGTCTTATTCAAAGTAAAATTGTTTATGTGCCTGGCTTCTTGACAAGACTGAGAGCAGTTCTTTATATCAATTATCTGATATTTTAAGTTATATTTCTCATTAATTATATGACATTTTCTTTAGTAATCAACCAACTATTCCTTTATTCTCACATTCCCTAATGACAAAATATATTTTACTATCTTAGAGTTGAATTTTTTTTCTAACAGAAAATTCTACATCTTTAAATAGCTAAAACCTCATTAGTCATCAACAAAGTACAAACTGAAACAATGAACTATAATCATCATTTCACTTGTGAAACTCAGGGGAGACAATATTAACTAAAGTACTAAAGTTGATGAGGTTATTGAGAAATCAGTCAGCTCTTCACACACTGCTAGTATCTCTATAAGGTGGTAGAATAATCTTTTTAGAAAGCAATAAAACAATAAATTAAGCAGATATAATAGATATTATATCTATAACAGACATCCACATTTGTATGTGTATATTACACACAAACATATATATTTATATCCACATTAAGAAATATGTACACAATTGAGTAATAATAATCTAAAAATGTTGATGCTTTTTTGACAGAGAAATCCTACTTCTACAAATACATCTGAAAAAATTTTTCTAAAGGATATATTCATGAAAATATTCATCACAGCATTATTATAGTGGTATCCATTGAGATAATTTAAGAAAATATGTACATATGAAAATTAGTATTTAAATGATGCAATATAATTTTCATAATATAAAATATAGTTTTTCAAACTATTTCTATATAGTTATGGTAACACGGACATTTAGTATACAACAGAAAAAACAAATAGAACCTAAGGCTTTCATATTTAGGAATTAACTTTGCTGACAAGAAGCTTAGTTGTCTTACTTTAATTTAGATTCTCATATGCAATACTATTTTTTATTAAAATAGTTATTAGTTATCTTTCAAAGTCATATAAAAACAAGATCCATTCGTTGTAATCACTTAGGATAAATAAAAGCTCACATCATCTTTAATATTTATTCAAAATAAGTTAAATACCGTCACTATAAACAAAGTATTATGTTGGTGCAAAAGTAATTGCAGTTTTTACCATGACTTTTAATGGAATATATTTATATATATATAAAATATATATTATCTATTTAATATATTAAATATATATTATGTATAGTATGTTTAACATTAAATATATTATATATTAAATATTAACTATATAATACTTAATATTAACTGTATATTTAATATATTAATATTAATATATTAATTCTATATTATTTATATATTTAATAATTAATACATTCCATTAAAAGTAATGGCAAAAACCACAATTACTTTTGTGCCAACTTATAATATGTTAAATTACTGCTTTGCTTTCAGAAGCATCAGGTGAGCCAGCCCCTCCCTGATTCCAATACAATACCAGTTGAAAAAATCTCTTAGGACTCAAATCAAAACTTTAAGCTATTTACCTAGAGCCAGAATTAAGGATTTTAAATGTAGCTCTGAACGTCCAAGTTGCTCACATGTCTAAGATTTTAGTTTAACAAAACACTGGGAAGACTTGGTTTTGAAGATTTCAGTAAATCACTTACATATCTAAGCCAGTTTCCTCATTTAAAAAATGAAACTACAATAGGTAAAAGATTACCACGACACTTTCCAGCTTTAAAATGACTATGAAAGTGGCCAGGTGCAGTGGCTCACGCCTGTAATCCCAGCACTTTGGGAGGCCGAGGCGGGCGGATCCTGAGGTCAGGAGTTCGAGACCAGCCTGATCAACATGGTGAAACCCCATCTCTACTAAAAACACAAAAAGTAGCTGGGCGTGGTGGCATGCGCCTGTAGTCTCAGCTACTCAGTAGTCTGAGACAGGAGAATCGCTTGAACCTGGGAGGCGGAGGTTGCAGTGAGCCGAGATAGTGCCATTGCACTCCAGCCTGGGTGACAGAGCGAGACTCTATCTCAAAAAAAAAAAAAAAAGACTATGAAATTATAAATATATACAACATGTATATATATGTAAATACAAACATACATTTAAATACAAACATAATTCAGATGTATATAAGGTATATCTGTACATACATATAAATTCACATGTGTCCATATCCATTTATACATAAAATATATACATATATCCATTATATATATCAAATAGATACCCACATATGTATGTGTGTATATTATACACACACACATATACTTATATCCATGTTAAGAAATATGTACACAATTGAATGATAATAATTTCATTTCTTGGCTTTTAATTCCTTTCTTGTTTTTACCTTTAATCATTTAAGAATGTTCCTCACAAACAAATAACCATTTAAATTAAGATGAGCTTTTACTATCTTGCTATCTTGTTTTAAAAAATACCAAAATAAGATTAAAGAAATTAAAAAGTATAAATTTGAAAGGATAGAGACTAGAAAACAACAGGAACATGAGATATGTCAACAAACTTTTGGCAAGTGAAAAACACATGGAGAATTTAGAGCTAAGAAAACTTATTATCAGGCAACTGTAGAGAATTCCAACAAGAGAAAAGCAAATTCACATAGCAAAAATCAGAAAGGATCAGGAATTTAAGACACCAGATACCAGAGCAGGCACAATGAGGCCATGAGGCTAAAAACAAAAAAAAAATTGATTGAATTTATGTAATAGTGTCCCTGAGTCCCTCCATTCTACCCAGCCAGGTGATACTCTTCCCCAATCCTCAGAGGAGAGAACGTTTATTTTGGGGAGAAAAATGAATCAAAGAAGCACCAGGTCCAAGGACACAGTAAAAAAAGACAGAGATGCCAAACTAAAAGTTAAAGAGATTAAGTTAAGTTAAAGTCTATAATCAAATAGAAAAGTCATAGCCCTCTGTGTGCTATCCTCAAGAGGATTCTTGAATATCTGCAAAAACTGAACAACACCTAAGAAAAGATATATAAGCATTTGAGGGTTCCCCCCAAAAAGGGCAGGCCCCCACCCAATCACCCTATAATGAAGCCTACTAGTTGACAAGTCCAAACCTTAAATACAGGTTACAACTGTATTTATAACATTTTTCTGTAAACATTTTTTCTGTTAACTTTTTGCTGAATATACAACAAAATATAAGCAAACATGATGAAAGCCTTCACCATAAAAGACAGAAACTAAAACAGAAAGAAAAAAAGCAAATGATAGTAAACCAGAACATACAGAAGAAAACTTCAAGAACAAAAATAACAGCTAATATCCTCAGATGCATATGACAGGATGATCCAGCAAACAAGACTAGGAGGAACATTTGGAGAATAGGACAGATAGCTTAAAATTTTAACAAAGGACAATTTAAAAAAACCACGCGCACGCGCACACACACACACACACACACACACACACACACACACACACACACACACAGAAGGCCAGGTACTTAGCTAGGCATGGTGGCACATGCCTCTAGTACTAGCTATTCAGGAAGCTGAGGTGGGAGGATCCCTTGAGTCCAAAAGATATGACTGCACCGCTGCACTCCCGCCTGAGTGACAGAGCAAGATGTTGTCTCTAAAAAAATTTAAAATTAAGGCCAGGCACGGTGGCTCACGCCTGTAATCCCAGCACTTTGGGCAGCCAAGGCAAACAGATCACTTGAGTCCAGGAGTTTGAGACCAGCCCCGCCAACATGGTGAAAACTGGTCTCCACAAAAAATACAAAAATTAGCTGGACGTGGTGATGCATACTTGTAGTACCAGCTACTCAGGAGACTGAGGCAGGAGGATCACCGGAGCCCAAGTGGGCGAGGCTACAGTGAGCCAACATTGTGCCACTGCATTCCAGCCTGGGAGACAGAGCGAGACCCAGCCTCAAAAAAACAGACAACAAAAACAATAAGGTTGGAAAAGAGGTTAAAGGACTCAAAAAAAGAAAGAAAGAAAGAAAGAAAGAAAGAAAAAGAGACAGACATTTTACAAACAGAAGAGGATCAATCTGGAAGTCCAAAATGCACCAGATACGCATTCTATAAAAAAAAAAGAATAGAAAAGCTCAGCATAATGGCATAAGCCGGTAGTCCCAGTTACTCTGAACGCTGAAATGGGAGGACACCTTGACCCCAGGAGTTCAAAGCTCTAGTGAGGTATAATCCCACCACTGCACCCCCAGCCTGGGTGATAGGGTGAGATCCTGTCTTTAAAAACAGGAGAAAAGGGACAAAAAAAAATTACCCAAAAATTAAATTTCCAGGCCAGGCATGGTGGCTCACATTTGTAATATCAGCACTTTGGCAGGCCGAAGTGGGTGGATTGCTTGAACCCAGGGAGTTTGAGACCAGCCTGGGCAACATGGTGAAACCCCTGTCTCTACAAAAAATCAGCTGAGCATGGTGGTGCACACCTGTAGTCCCAGCTACTTGAGGGGGCTGAGGCAGCAGGATCACCTGAGCCCAGAAGGTCCAGGCTGCAGTGAGCTGCAATCACCCTACTGCACTCTAGTCTGGGTGACAGAATAAGTCCTTGTTTCAAAGTTCCAGAATTGAAAGATGAATTGCCCTAAGTCCCTGGGACAATGATTTTTCTAAAAAGACATACCCAGTATATCTCATAAAAACTTTAGACACCAGGAATATACAGAAGAGCCTAGAAATTTCTAAAGATAAAAAAATATGGGTAGCACAATAAAAGGCATATGGGTTTTCACAACACAGAAAACAACGGAGACTAGCCTTTAAAATGCTGAGAAAATGAATCTCAACCTAGAATCTCTATCCAGCCAAATCACTGTTCTGCTACGAGATTAGAATAAAGACATTTTCAGACATGTAAGGTCTCAAAATTATACCCCACACTCTCCCCTTTTCATGAAGTTACTCGACAGTGTGCTCCATGAAAAGAAGAGTATCACAACAGACAACCCAGATTCAAAATATAAGTAATCTTATACTGAAGATACGAAAGACATCCCAGACTGATAGCATATAAGCAATACATCAATAAACAAGAAAAAAAAAATCCTTTCCCTATAGAAGCTTACATTCTAGTACCAGCGATTTTCAAAATGAGGCCTGTAGACCCTTGGGGATCTCTACAACACTTTTCAGGGGACTCAAGAAGTCAAAACTATATTCACTGTAACACTAAAACATTATTTACCTTTTTCATTGTGCTGACTTTTGCACTGATGGTGCAAAAGTAATAGTGGACAAAACTGCTGGCACCTTAGCACAAATCAAGGCAGAGGCACCAAATTATACTTAGTAGTCACTGTATCCCTCACTGCCATACAGTCACAGTTTAAAAAAAAAAGCAATTTCAATTAAGAATGTCCTCAATAAAGCAGTAAAAATCATAAATTTTACTAAATTTCCACTCGAGTACATACACATCTTTTTAATATTCTTATGAAATGAGAGATACACATAACTTCTGCCATATATTGAAGAACGCTGGTTATTTCAAGAACAAGCATTTGTGTAACTGAATTGCAACTTGAATTAGCTGCTTTTATTATGAAACATTATTTTATTTTAAAAACTCACTATAATTATGCAGACTTGAGTATCTGGAAAACCTTTTCTTGAAAATGAAGGGATCCTTCCATTTCAAGGAAAAGAGTATTCATTGCTGATGATAAAATTCAAGCTTGCAAGCAAAAATTTGAATTTTAGATAATTTGTATTGCCACCATGAGAATGATAGCTTCTGAATACTTAAAAACTTCCGAGATCATCGGTGACATTAACAAACATGAATTTTTGATATATAATGAAGGGTGTTAACATTAGAAAGATATGCCTAACTCAGTGAGCCAATATTTTCCAAATGGCCAATGCAAAATGTCACAAAACCATGCGTGGGTAAAGATCCACTCAGAGTGTAAGTCAGACCAATAGATTTTAACATAATGGAGTACCAAAGGTTATCCATATGGTTTCAAAAACCATATTAAAACAGAACTTCAAGAAATTAACACAATCAATTTTTGGTGTAATACGAAAGACATAATTACCTGAAAAGGGTTACTAAAACACTTATCTGAGTAAAGCCAGATTTGCTTCACAAACTTCAATCAAAACAATTTATCTCAGTGGATTGAATGAAGAAGCAGATATGAGAATCCAGCCATCTTCTATTAAACCAGACATTAGAGATTTGCAAAAAAGGAAAATAGGCCACTTTTCTCACTAAGTTTGTTTTGGAAAACACAGTTATTTTTCATATCAAAGATACTATTTATGTTACCATATTTTGGGTTTATTGTTATTAAATGAATTCATGAAGATTTCAAAATTTCGTTTTAATTAATAAGGTAAATATTCATAGATATAATCCAAATAAATGTTATTGGAGTCCTCAACAATGTTTCAGAGTGTAAAGAGACCCTAAGACTAAAATGTTTGAGAACCTCTGCTCTAAGATACCTACAGTCATTCCCATTCTCTATTTCTGTCCTTTATACTACATCTCTGAGTAAGGCACAAACAAGCAGAAAAAAAGGAAGGGACACAGATCTATCTGTCTTGGGGGTGACCAAAAAGAGAGAACAGGAGAAGGCGAGTATAAATTTTTTATTTGTTCTAATTACAAACAACATAATTTATCCATAATAGAAGGCTGGTTGATTACATTTAACACAGGTTAATGAAAGATAACAAAAGTCCTTCCTTGGAACATACCTCAAAATAACAAGAGCCATTTACAACAAACCCACAGCCAATATCATACGGAATGAGAAAAAGCTGGAAGAATTCCTCTTGAAAACCAGCACAAGACAAGGATGTCCTCTCTCACCACTCCTATTCAACATAGTATTGAAAACTCTGGCCACAGCAATCAGGCAAGAGAAAAAAAACAAAGGGTATTCGAATAGGAAGACAGGAAGTCAAATCGTCTTTGCAGATGACATAATCCTATATCTAGAAAACCTAATCATCTCAGCTCAAAAGCTTATTAAGCTGACAAGCAACTTCAGTAATGTTTCAGGATACAAAATCAATGTGCAAAAATCACTAGCATTCCTATACACTAACAACAGACAAGCAGAGAGCCAAATCATGAATGAACTCCCATTTACAACTGCTATAAAAAGAATAAAATACCTAGGAATACAGCTAACAAGGGAAGTGAAGGACCTCTTCAAGGAGAACTACAAACCACTGCTCAAGGAAATCAGAGAGGACACAAACAAGTGGAAAAACGTTCCATGCTCACAGATAGGAAGAATCAATATCGTGAAAATGGCAATACCACCCAAAGTGACCTAAAGATTCAATGCTATTCCCATCAAACTACCATTAACATTCTTCACAGAATCAGAAAAAAAAACTATTTCAAAATTCATATGGAACCAAAAAAGAGCCCATATAGCCAAGACAATCCTTAGCAAAAAGAACAAAGCTGGAGGCATCATGCTACCTGACTTCAAACTATACTACCAGGCTACAGTAGCCAAAACAGCATGGTACTAGTATAAAGACAGACACATAGACCAATGGAACAGAATAGACAACTCAGAAATAAGACCGCACATCTACAACCATCTGTTCTTTGACAAACCTGACAAAAACAAGCAATGAGGAAAGGACTCCCTATTTAATAAATGGTACTGGGAGAACTGGCTAGCCATATGTAGAAAATTGAAAGTGGACCCCTTCCTTATATCTTACACAAAAAATTAACTCAAGATAGATTAAAGACTTAAATGTAAAACCCAAAACTATAAAAACCTTAGAAGAAAATCTAGGCAATACCATACAGGACAAAGGCACGGGCAAAGATTTCATGGCAAAAACGTCAAAAGCAATTGCAACAAAAACAAAAATTACAAATGGGATCTAATTAAACTAAAGAGTTTCTGCACAGCAAAAGAAATTATCATCAGAACGAACAGACAATCTATAGAGGAAAATTTTTGCAACCTATACAACTGACAAAGGTCTAATATCCAGAGTCTATAAGGAAGTTAAACAAATTTGCAAGAAAAAAAAAGGAATCCCATTAAAAAATGGGCAAAGAACATGAACAGACACTTCTCAAAAGAAGTCATTTATGCAGCCAACAAACATATGAGAAAAAACTCAACATCACTGATCATTAGAGAAATGCAAATCAAAACTACAATGAGATATCATCTCATGCCAGTCAGAATGCAATTATTAAGAAGTCAAGAAATGGCCTGGCACAGTGGCTCACACCTGTAATCCTAGTACTTTGGGAGGCTGAGGGGGGTGGATCACGAGGTCAGGAGATGGAGACCATCCTGGCCAGCATGGTGAAACCCTGTTTCTATTAAAAATACAAAAATTAGCTGGGCGTGGTGAAGCGTGCCTGTAATCCCAGCTACTCAGGAGGCTGAGGCAGGAGAGTTGCTTGAACCAGGGAGTCAGAGGTTGCAGTAAGCCGAGATCGCACCACTGCACTCCAGCCTGGTGACAGAGTGAGACTCCCGTCTCAAAAAAAAAAAAAAAGTCAAAAAACAACAGATGCTGGCAAGGCTGTGGAGAGACAGGAACACTTTTATTAATAAACTGTTGGTGAGAATGTAAATTAGTTCAACCATTGTGGAAGATGATGTCACAGGCATTGTCCAGAACGGGTGATACTTTGAGGAATCAGCAGTGTGGTGATTCCCCAAAGACCTAGAACCAGAAATACCATTTGACCCAGCAATCCCATTACTGGGTATATATCCAAAGGAATAGAAATCATTCTGTTATAAAGACACATGCACGTTTATGTTCACTGCAGCATTATTCACAATAGCAAAGACACAAAATCAAACTAAATGCCCATCAATGATAGACTGAATAAAGAAAATGTGGTACATATACATCACAGAATATTATGGAGCCACAAAAAAAGAATGAGATCATCATTTGCACGGACATGGATGGAGCTGGAAGCCATTATACTCATCAAACTAACGCAGGAAGAGAAAACCAAACACCGCATATTCTCACTCATAAGTGGGAGCTGAATATTGAGAACACATGGACCTGGGAGGGGAACAACACACAATGGGGCCTGAGGTGGGGGCATGGGGGAAGGGAGAGCATCAGGAAAAATAGATAACGCATGCTGGGCTTAATATTTAGGTGCAGTAAACCACCATGGCACATGTTTACTTATGTAATAAACCTCCACATCCTGCACATGTACCCCAGAACTTAAAATAAATCCTTCCTTAGAGAAACCAAGAAAAGTTTGAAAAACCAGTGTGACAAAACTATAAATATTTCAAGTGACACATTTACATTTCAGAAAAATTACACTGAAATATAATTAATCCCAATAAAAGAAAGCAAAAGGTCACCATATTTCTTTGTTATAGTTAACTTCAAACATTTATTCACAAAAGGGAGTGAATACTAACAGCAAATCACAAAGTAGATCCCAAAATTGTCTTCTCTATAAATGACAGGTACTGAAGTCCTACTCACCACCACAGACATAAACTTACCCCTGGATTTCCATAATATCATCAGCATGTAATTAAATATACTTGCCAATTCAAGACATGGTAATCAATTTATATTACATAGTCCTAGTAAGGAAGAATTCTTTATACTTAACTCCACCAGTAAGGTGCAATGAATGGAAAGACACATTGATAGTTCTTTCTGATAAGGGCAATGAATGATGAATGGAGCACAGGCTTTTAGAGTCCTACAAGCTGACAATTTTCAATCTATCTGTAGGTGAAAGAGACAACATGGGACAGAGCTCCTATAGCTCTTGGTTTCCTGTTCTCACTCTAGTTCTTCCTGGTTGTAGCCTCGTGGTTGCAAAACTCACCCAACAACTCCCACTACAGAACTGAAGCCATGGCATGTAATGACTACAGGAGGAGATCAATTTACAGAAATATCTTAATGTAAAGTTCACGTGCCTGATTGAAGAGGTAAAGCCAACATGTGGTCATTCAAGAAAAGAGAACTCAAAGGACTACACAAGTAGTTCCTTTGTCCAGTTATTGATAAGGGTACAAGAAGCAGTTATCTCTTTCAGAAAACAGGCAATCAGTTTGAAGAACAAAGATTTCCAAAGGACATGATAGCTTATAATTACTTCTCCACTACTCACTCAGTATATCAAACTATAATTTTCTTGATTCTGGACACATGGCCAGAAAAAGTGAAAACAATGGTTATTTCAATGGGAAATCCACCTCAAAGAAGAAAAGTAAAACTGGGGTGAAAACTAACATATTAAGAAATCCATAAACAAGTACACAACTCTTTATCTCAAAAGAGATAAAGAATTCTGTCAAAACACTTCTCCCATCACAATTAAAAACTTGCAAGCATCTCTCTTTTTAAAAAAGCATGATCAATCATAGGAATTTATCCCCAATGGTTTGAACATGAAAGCAGGAAATACAACTATAGATCTACTATAAACAACCCGCTTTCAGAACTTTTCCAATTCATAACACCCCTCTTTGTGAGACTGGTTGAGTTGGCAAGGCCAATTAACAGAAGGTGCCAGCTGTTTTTGTCGTTTCAGATTCTGACATTTTTAGCCCTCTTATTGAAAAACATAAAGTGTTATATCACTTAGCATGAAATCTTTGCCTGCAAAGAAAGTGAATATTTATAAACTCTAAGACTAGAGAGGCTCTTAAAGGATACCTAGTTTCCCCCAAGGTTGCAACTGTCACACCTGCTCCAAATCTTAAACCTGGGAACTCTGCTTACCTCCTTCACTTAGAACTTTTATAATACATCTAAGTTCAAAGATGACAACTCGAATGCTTTCTTGTGACAACATAAGACATTTGAATTTATTTATCTACTACCTAGTTAGCTGGAACACAATTGGGTTACTGCTAATTCTGAAAGTGTAAAAAAATATTTTTTTGTTTAGGTTTCCAGTGTGCATTTAAAGATACACAACCTCTGAGAGAGAAATTACGTCAAGGTTAACCTAAAATCAAGAGCAGGCAACATGCCTTACGGTGCATTGTAACATCTTGCAAAAGTAAACAGAGCCATATGCTCTTGGTCACATGCCACCAGTACAGAAGTCAAAGGAATATATAGTGTGTTTAAGGCGAGCATATTTATATTTCAAGAGAGGAACATCTATTTCACCCTGCACCACTTCTCTCAGCAAGCCAGTGTGAGCCAGAAAGGGTAGGGCGGAATCAGAAAGAGAGCTGGATCTAAGGCAGGGACAGTGGAGTGGATGGGATAGAGGGCACCAGAATCCAGCCTCCCTCTTGCTCCACCCTACCTAGAGCTAGTGAGGAAGCGCCAGGCTTATATTGCAAGATGAGCCAGGAAACCCAAAAGCAGCTATGAAGAACCAGGAACGTGGGGCGAGGGGAGGAGTCGGCGAACTCTCCGACATGTCCTCAAGACAGAAGGCCAAGCTTGAGGCCTGCGGCCACCCACCCACCCTACAGCCACCAGCCTTGACCCAAGGAGTCCGGAGCCTCCCAGGTGCGGGACGCATGCGCACGGTGACACTGCGCACGCCCCGAGGCCGCAGCCCACCCTCCACAGACACTGAGCCGCAAACTGCGCCAGGCCCCGCGTCGCCTCTCGCCGGATCAGGGCCTCGGAGCTCCGCAGCCACGGCTGCCGCTCCCCAGGCCCTGGTCGTGGGCATCACCTGGGTCCAGACCTTTGGGCTCACACCTCCCGTTGACGTGCAAGCGCCGCAGTCCCTGAGTCGTTTCTTTAGATCAGGGCGCCGCCGGCGTCCACCGAACTTGCTTCAGTTTAAGCTCAGCGCCTTCCTGGTTCTAGCGCCAGGCAGCTTCAGCCGAGATATCGAGTGCATCGATGGACGCTGCCAGGCGCTGGGAATGCCGAGGGAGTAGATTGTAACGCGGCCGATTTTTTGTTTGGCGTTTGTTTTGCGTGCCTGTTTATTTTGATTTTATTGTTACCAAAAGCAATAAAGGTGGGACTGGAGAGTGTTATTGTCTTAGTAGTCGTCGTTATCGTCATGGGTAATCAGTAAACAAATCTGCATCGTAGGAAGTTTTGTTTATGACACCTACCCGAAACAAAATTGGTTATCTCACGCTGGGGGAGGGGGAAACTCGCCCAACGATAATAAATCATGGGAGTGTGTCTGTATAGAGTCGTGTGTGATTAAATTGTAATGATTTATTTGCAAAAATGCATTAAAAGTCGGTGTTTCTTCTGCCCTGAAGGTGAAGGCACTCACAAGTTGAGTGCAAATTAGTTTCTCAGATTAAAGTAACTGGTTAGTAGAGGAATAGGAGAGAGCTGCCTGAGGCGAGGCGGGGAGCGGTTTCTTCTGAAAGAGAACTCAAATTTATAGGTGTGTGGAGTTTTTTTATTTAAACCAATAGAAATTAAAGAGACTCAGCATTTTCTGTAATTCATACTACATTACTTATTTTTCCTTACATGGAAATTTTTTCCTCATTTACTCTTAAGCAAAGCTAAAAAGATAAATAAATTGTTGGCCTGGGTTTTGGTCGACTATGAGAATCAACTCATTCACCACTGCTAGATAACCAAGCTACAGTTTTCCGCAGACATTTGAGATGGTGAAAAATCACCTCCACAATATATTTTTCGTAAATAATGTACCTTAACTAGCCAGTTTTGAGGCACCGTTTTAAAACTTAACTACTACAACACTACGTGTATATTTTAAATAATTCAAGAGCTGGGGAAACCCTTGGGGTCCTGAATTTTATTGGAACCTGTGCATCTGTCCACAGACTGTCAGCTGAGCTTTACCATAAATGCTTTTTTTTTTTTTTAAACAAAAACTGTATTTTGAAATGCCCTGTTTCTGGAAGATATTTGCTGTTTAATGAAACAACATCATTGGAACTTTGTGAGCATTTATTAATGTATGAATTTAAAACCTTGAAATATTTTTTAAAGTAACTTCCCTTAGGCCAGTGGAAATCTGTGGTCAGACACTAAAGATTTCTCATGGCTCCATCTGTTATCAACACTACTATTCCTAAATATGCAATGAGCCAAAAAGCTGAGATCATGGGAAAATTTATTGGTTTGAATTACACAATAGTTGTGTCTGTGACTTCCCTGATTACCTTCAAAGTGGTCATCTTTCCCTCAAGCTCAGTAGATGAAATATGACTTCAAACCTAAAAGTCATGTACTTAAAAAGGCAAACAAGTAGCTGGTGGGTCTCCTGATTCCTTAACCGACTTCTAACAGTGGTTATTTTTGAGTTATTTGTGAATATGTATTTAACACCTCAGTTTGAGAGCACCTTGAGCACCGTATCCTCTTAGCTCTCCCTATTACTGGCCCTTCTGCTAAATAATCTTAAAAACAGATTTTCATAAAGGACTAAAGTTGTATGATTATTTTCCTCTGATAATATCAGAAAGTAGTTACAAAGAGTAACCCAAGACTCAATGTGAAATTGTTTCTAAATTCGTATAACTTTGAAACTTTGTCCCTTTTGTGGTGTAACAAAACAAAAGCAAGTACTGATAACAATGTATTCATACCTAAAAGCTATAGCTGCGGAAAAATTATAGACATTAGCTCTCCTAAAAGTGGCAAAAAATGAAATGTTTTAAAAAGGGAAAACAACGTTTCTAAAAAGCATGATATACATAATCCTTAAACTCACCAAACATGAACATTTTAATGTGAGTATTGTAGTATAACATAAGGTTATATCCAGCTTCTATCTACATCTATTTGAGAAACACTAATATATTAAGTTATAATTGTGTTCTCTTTTTGCAAGTGTTTCAGGTTGTTTTGACGGAACTTCTTAAATTATCTGCTAATTTGTTTTGATGCCTTAACCAATATACGGAAGATATACATATTAATGTTCTGTAATTCCTCTTATTTTTACTAAGAGTATTAGATCCAAAATAATGATCAAGTTACCTTTAACTTCCAGAAAGTCTGCATTAATATTCAGAGTACTTGAAAATGTCCCCTAAGCCACACTTAGAGGTATATTTGTTTACACACTTAAATATAACATCATATGTAAATATTCTTTTGTGAGTATGTATTTGCATAGCCACACTTCTCACAGCAAGCCCTGTCCGGCACAATACAGACAAATGACTCAGGAATATAGATGTTCCTCTAACGTAACAAACCGTTCCGATGAAAATAGCCCAGAAATAGAATTTTAAATCGTAAGCGGGGTGGTGGGGGGGGTAGGCAGAGAGACCTTTACTCCTGGCGAGCGTCTCTTTTTTAGCTCTCCGTAATAAATGAAATTAGAGGGGGTACAAACTTAACGTCGATTTTTTTTTCAGACTCGAAGAGGGATAATCTCTTGTTTTTCAAATTAGTAAATAAACTCGGATGTTTCCCAAGATGCTAAAGAAGAAGTCCTGTAATTCACCATAGAGGGGTCCGAGTGCAGAGAGTAAGGGAGAAGGGTGGGAGTTCTGAGACCTCAGAGAGGAAACGAACGAAGTCGAGCTGTCCTTGACCGGGCGCTAAGGAAACACTTTAAAATGAGATCTGTCAGCTAACAGCTGCTGGGGAAACTTGTTAAATCGACTGGTCCCTTTTAGCGGGGTCTGTCCATAGAGGAGTCAGCTGGGCTCCAGGACACGAATAATAGAGCGAATAACACGGACCGAGGGGCGAGGAGCTTGGAGAAGACCCGGACTCAGCCTGCCTGCGAGCCGGGAAGCTCCTAAGAGAAGCTGCGCGGGTCGGAGAAGGTGCAGGCAACCCTGTCTCTGGGCAGGATGATGCTGGGCGGTGGAGCTACGGCCGGCAGGGGTGGGATTGTGAGGGAGAGGCGGGGATGCAGAATTGGGATGCGGGGTCAGGATGCGGGAATGGGATGCGGGGCCTGTAAACTGCTGGGCGGTTGATGCAGGGCAGGGACGAGGAAAAGCAATGCGAAGCTGAGCATTGCGAGGCACCCTGACTCGAAGCAAGGCTGTAGGGAAGGATGCAGTGTCGGGATACCTGACTGACTCTAAGAGCTGCGCACTTGTCAGTTTCCTCTTGGCCCCACCCCGCGGGGTCTATCCAGCTCCCCAGTGTTTAACTAAGTCGTGACACCAACGCAAAATCCACGCCTAATTAAATTAATTAGGGATTCTTGTCAATCCTGGATTAATGGCCAAGAGCACAGGCGGCAGGGGCTATCTGAAAACCTGAGCGGCCGGGGACCGGCCTTCTCTCCCCGCCCCCTCCGGTCCCCCTGTGCTGCCCTACCACTCCAGCCCCAGCCCGCCCGAACTCCAATCTCTCTCTCTCCTCTTCTCTCTCTCTCTCTCTCTCTCTCTCTCTCTCTCTCTCTCTCTCTCTCTGTTTCTCTCCTTTTCCCCTCCCCAACCCCCGGTAGAGGCGCGACTGCTACCCGGGAAGGGGGCTCACTCCGAGTTGCGAGGGGAGGTAATTTACTCAAAACAAGAGGCCGCCGTTAGGAAGTATAAATAGTGGGACTTCAAGCGCAGCGTCGCTATCAGATCTGAACTCTCCGCAGGAAGAATTGTCAAAGATCTTAACATTGAACAAGCGCGCTCCGGCAGGGAAGCATCAGTTCCCATTTCCCTCCGGCAGCCCCCGCCCCTTCTCTTCTCCTCCTCCTCCTCCCTCTCCTCTTCACCCTTCTCCCCCTCTTCCTCTTCTTCCTCCTCCTCCTCTTCTTACTTCTTTTTCTCCTTCTACTTCTCCTCCTCTTTCTTCTTTCTTCTCCTCTTTTTCTTCTTCTTTCTCCTCCTCCCTCTCCTCCCCCACCTCCTGTCCCATTGATGTGTTATTATTGGGGGGGCTGGAGCAGTAAAAAAAGAAGAAGGAAAAAAAGAGCGGGGCTCTGCTGGCAGAGGTTGAGCGCCGGGCTGACGTGCGGCGGCGATGGAAGAACTTACGGCGTTCGTCTCCAAGTCTTTTGACCAGAAAGTGAAGGAGAAGAAGGAGGCGATCACGTACCGGGAGGTGCTGGAGAGCGGGCCGCTGCGCGGGGCCAAGGAGCCGACCGGCTGCACCGAGGCGGGCCGCGACGACCGCAGCAGCCCGGCAGTCCGGGCGGCCGGCGGAGGCGGCGGCGGAGGAGGCGGAGGCGGCGGCGGAGGAGGCGGAGGAGGTGTAGGAGGAGGAGGAGCAGGCGGAGGAGCTGGAGGAGGGCGCTCTCCCGTCCGGGAGCTGGACATGGGCGCCGCCGAGAGAAGCAGGGAGCCGGGCAGCCCGCGACTGACGGAGGGTAACGACCTGACTGACCCCCGGCAGCGGTTCCCCTTCCCGCCTTCCGGACTCCTCTCGGGCGGGAGAGGACTCCGAGGCCCAGCGGGGAGGGGAGAGGGACACGGAGAGGGCCCTGGACCCCAGCTTTGTCAGCTAGAGTGATAGTGGAAGGGTGGGGGTCCGGTGGTATGCTCGGTCATGGGTGGGGTCCTAGTGTGTTGTGGGGGTGGCGTGGGGGGAAGCGTGTGGGGTTTGTGCGCGCCCTTCCCAGATGTTCCCATTCCACCGAAATGCATTTTTCACCAGCGGGAGGATGGGCCCGCAGCCCGGATGGCCCGCAGGCGGACGTGGAAGTTCGCGGGGCCGGGCTGCAGGAGGGGGTGCTGAACCAGACGGCGGGACTAAAGCTAGCCTCTAGCGCAGAGTTTGCCGGGAGGGAGAAGGGGCAGAGGTGGAAAGCTTAACCCTCCGGTCGCCTAGGTGTTTGGGGCCGCCAAGACCCCTCGAACTCCGCAGAGCCCCTGAATCTTTGGATCTTAGGGGCCAAAACTTCCCATTCTCTTTCAAGGTAGAAGGAAGCCAA
This sequence comes from Homo sapiens, assembly GCF_000001405.40. NCBI lineage: Eukaryota > Metazoa > Chordata > Mammalia > Primates > Hominidae > Homo > Homo sapiens. Next base: position 158,105,114 of record NC_000003.12, on the reverse strand, counting down.
CGAAAGCTGAGGTCCAGGCTACGCTGCTTCTCCCGGGCGAGGCGTTTCGGTTTCTTGGTGTGTTGGGGGCGGGGGGGGGGGGCGGCGGGGGAGGTGGGGATCTATATTTACACAATTCCTTTAGTGTTTTCAATCACCCAGTACTCGGTTCTCTTAGAGCAAAAATCCTTTGGTGCTAGCTCAGTGTTAGGAAACGTCTTTATCTCAATGGCAGAGCGTTCTATACCAATTCAAAGGAGTTCAACAATAAAATTGATTTGGCACTTGGTGCCTGCAGTAACTGGTGTACTGCCATATTTTTCCAATTAAGAAAATATGTGGCATGCGTGGAATCACATATTTAAGCAAGCAATTAAGTTGTTTATGACACGGTCTGTTCCTGTTTAGATCAGTAATTGGAAATTTGGGGACAAAAATAGAGATTTTATTAAGTCTATGGATCAACTTGAAATTTGGACATCTCCTCGAAGCCCCAAAACTTTGAGTGGCATCCACTGTGTAGATGACATGTAATAGACAAAGCCTTCCCACCTCATTGGCAGAATTTGAAGGGTGTGTTTTCATATTTAAATTTCAATACAATATCAGTAAAAATACTTTGCTATTAAATTGGCCCATAATGTTTACTATAATGTTCCTTCCTAAAGAAAGGACAAATGTCCACAAAACTAACTCTGAGAACTAGAAAATACGGCAATATTTAAGATCACCGTAGCTAGAATGCCCGGCAGGGCCGAGATCTAGCGACTCTTCTTCCTCCAAACCAGCACCAGGTCTTCCTAAATTTGTAAAGTGGTGGAGTTACCGTCAAGGTGCCCAGTGCAGCCTCCCGGCCATGAGTCCACAACTACAGGCCCGAACTACAGGTTCGCCAGCGCGCCTGACGGCGAGGTTCAGGTCTGAACCCCCGGCGGGCGCAGTTCCTGGGATTGTTGATTTCCAAGCTCAGGGCAAGTATTAATTTCTCTGCAGACCGGCTCTTCCGGAAATGATTTTTAACACCCATGCTGGCCTGGATCCTGCGCTGGGAAGAACTGCAAACAGCCTCGACTATCTAAACTCAGCTTTGACTTCTTAAAACCCGGAGTCTCTGATTCGGGCGCAGAGGATAAAGGTTCCAGGGGGATATATATATGGTGGCTGTATATGCTCACACTAGAAGAGCTCCTGTTTTTAAAGGGAGGAGAAGGACAGGAAAGTGGCAACGGATGTGTGCAAACCCAGAGCAGAAAAATTCATATTTTATTAAACATCCGAGCTGCTGGTTGCATGAAAAGGCTTTGAGCAACCAATAGAAACCGAGGATCGCGAATATTCCGCTTGAACCTGTTGATCTCTGTGGGTTAAGCGTTTAGGGTCGAGTCTGCGTTTCCACGAGGGAGGGCGAAGAGAGAACAGAAAGAGCGGTTGCTTTCGCCCGCCACCGGAGGCTGGTTTTCCGCCTCCTGCCTTCTGGCCCGGCTTGGGCGGCGAGCCCTTTGGGCAGCCAACATGGCGTGGGCGCCTGTGCTCGTGCGACCCCGGTCGGGCAGGCGGGACGGAGATTACCTGGCTGTCCAGGGGACCTTATGCAGGGTTTGGCCCGAGCCCAGGGGCAGCGAGGGGCGTCTGCGGATGCGGCTCCCTGTGCGGCACAACACCGGGGTCTGTTGCTCTCGCTGATACCTTTCGGCCCAATTGTTCCTAAATTAGACCAGCAAGTTTGCGGTAGGCAGAGAGCCAGCGGTGGTGAGAGCTGGCCTGAGAACGAGCCAGCCTTCTGGGAATGGCCGGTGTGAGAGGCCAGTGGGTGGCCTTGCCGCGCCCTTATGTCCAGACTTTGCTCTGTGAGAGGCCTGGCGCTGCGCCTTTGATTTCTGTGAGTGCTGCGGAGCAAGTGAGTGCGAAAGTGAGTGGAAACCATTTGGTGTTTGCTGGGGAAGGCCGGTGACTGGGGGGTGAATAGTGAGGCGGTGAGTCGAGGTACGTTTGTGAAGGAGGTGGTGGATGACTGCCCACCTTGCCCCAGGCGGCCGCTCAGACTTGACCTTTGCGCTTCTCCGGGATATTCTTCCTCCGGGTGGGTTGAGAAGCCGGACCAGGATTCCACGAGGGGGAAGGATTCTCTATTCTTTTTTGCGACAAATCTGGTAACAGGATTTGCTGTGCTGTTTTCGTCCGTGTGTGTGTGCGTGTGTGTGTGTGTTCGTGTGGATGCACGTGTGGCCCCGCTGGGGTGCCCCCTCCAGTGTCCCCGGAGCTGAAAGATCGCAAAGAGGATGCGAAAGGGATGGAGGACGAAGGCCAGACCAAAATCAAGCAGAGGCGAAGTCGGACCAATTTCACCCTGGAACAACTCAATGAGCTGGAGAGGCTTTTTGACGAGACCCACTATCCCGACGCCTTCATGCGAGAGGAACTGAGCCAGCGACTGGGCCTGTCGGAGGCCCGAGTGCAGGTACCCAGCTGCCAGGAGGTCGAGGGCCCAGGGAGCAGAGAGAGCCTGGGGTTGGAAAGAGGCTTGGGGGACACACTCGGGAGGTGGTGCTTCTAGTGTCTGGTGTAAGATGAGAAGGAAAGAGATATCTTTACTAGAGGTCTTATTTTCCAAAGTAGATCTTAGTCCTATAGCACTCCCCTCCTTTTTTTTTTTTCCATCCTAACATATGTTCCCAGAAGAAGAAAGCTGTGCTGGGCTTTCTCCCAGAGTTTCTATAAACCACACCCCCCTTGCCTCGCACTGGCTTTAATGTGGTTTAATCCTAATGGGCCTACTTTTATAAGGCTTAAAAAAAAATCCCACAGAAAACGTTTTATCTCTGGATGCCTTAAAAGTTCCAAAGAGTATTTTGTTCTCTGGAGTTGGATTTCCTTGAAAGTCTGCTCTGCAGGGTCTAGGTTTGTCAAGCGGATATCCCAATTAGGTTTATAGATGTGCAGACTATAAAGAAAATTAGTAACTGTTAAGTGCAGAAATTTACAGTCTGCTGTTAGCGGTCGATCTCAAACTGTGTGTGAAATAGCGGAGAAATAAACGCATTTTGGTCACTCTTTGTTCATTCATTTAACCAAGGCAACGAAACTGACCCTAAATACATTAGATTTTAAAACAAACCACATATATTAGTATTTATATTTCCAAAGCCTGCCCTCCAGCACGTGCCATACCCAATGAAGTTAGGACTGAAACAGATTTTCTTTATTGGTTGTGGAGGCAAATGTAATAGCAAAAATAGGCTTTGGGGGCATTTAAAGGAGCAAATTGTGTACATTCACATACACATATCCTTCTAGCTTTAGGGGGAACAAATTTAAATGTTTCAGATTGTATTTCCGCTCAGATAATAAAATAGAATAAAATGATAGTTATTATTGGTTTGAACACATGGAGCAGTTTTAGGCCCGCACATCTGCAGCTGTTACAAAGTATCGCTGTAACAGATACTCTTTCGGTCTCTGGGCACAGAGACCACCATCTGTAGCGAACTATGCACAATTCTTAAGGGGCTTCCCCACATCTTGTAACAGGATCAGGAAAAAAAAAAACAGAGCAGTCACGTTGAAGAGGAAAAGTAATAATAGGCTGCCTTGGTCATCACAGCATCAGCAGCAGAGCCTTCCTTTTTAAGCCTCTCCTGCTTCGCTCTGTGCACTGAGATCTCCAGAGGCTCAGCAACCCCTTAAAAACATGATGATAATTATTACAGTTATGATTATTAGTATCTTAATTCCAACTCTTCTAGGGGAAAAAAAGGCAAGAAGCCTCAGGCCATGTGAATTACACAAAGGATGCCACCCTGGCACAAAATCCACCCTCTGTTGTACTAAATAGCAGAGAAATTTTTGAAGATTTACATTGACTATGACACTTGCTTTCAAAAACATACCAATGAAAGCTCTGAAGCAGTATTTTTACTTTAATGGGGTTTTAAAAACTTTAATTTGTGAGTCAATCAATATGCTTTATTATTGAAAGTGGAATACAAAAGCAAGCTTTATTTGAATTTTAAAAAATCTGTCATACTGCCTGTAAAAGTTGTCAAGTTTAAGCAGGTAACATCCAGGAGAACAAAGTACCTAAGAGTTACTTGCTTTATATATACTTCATTCTCCTTTCGCTGAGTGCTCTTCTTTTTTTCTCTTAAGAAGTGAACTTTATTGTTGTTTCATACTTTTATTTACATTTTAGTTATTTTCTAGATGTTTTCCTACTATCCTAACTGCAAACAGTGGCTTTTTCTAAAGAAGCAAATTAGATTATCATGATAATGGTGCACAATTATTCTGCTACTGTGTTTCACTCTGCTGCACAGCAGAACAGAGAAATTCTAAACTTCTTTGTAGTGAGGCTTTTATGACACTAATTACCTCTCCCCAACCCTTACAACTCCTTCTCCGCAAAGGAGTCATTATTTGCTCTGGTGTTTGGTTTTTCTTTAAGATGAAGCTAATTAACATTACAGGCTATTAATGAACACATTCTTCTCAGGTCTTAACTGGGCAAATATCTAAACCATTATCATGTTGGTATCAGGTACCAAGCAGAGTTTTAGGCCATGGGGACTCTGTTATGTGAAAAGATGAAATCAGGACTAATAGTAATCTATCTTGTGAAAGTCTATAAAATCTATCTTTCTATTTCTGTAGTTAATTTACATGTTTAACTTTGGAATTTGAGGCTGTTTTATACAATTCAAAGATTGCTTGCTGTATCTCCCAATTCTTGTCTAAACCACGACTCTTTTCTCTTTGTACTTTTGTAATTTAAAAAAATTTTTAGTCATAACATCTAGGTTTTATTTTTTTTCCCCCTCCAACCTATAGGTTTGGTTTCAAAATCGAAGAGCTAAATGTAGAAAACAAGAAAATCAACTCCATAAAGGTATGCTTCTTATACAAGGAACATTTGATAGTCTGAGCAAAGAGAGAAGTAGTGAATATTACTATTACAATGACAGAAAAAAAGGAACCTCAAAAATGACAATAGTTCTTGACTTAATAATCTTCAAAGGCTGTTAATGGAGTCCTAAAGTTTGGGAGTAAGTTACATTTATTTAAATTTTGGATGCAGTTTAGAAAGATAATAGTCCATTTTCAAAGGAATTCGTTCTGTCTTGTACCCTTTGGAACCCTGAAAAATGCTACAAACGTTAACCTCACATTATTTTTCTCTTGTACTTTTTACAGGTGTTCTCATAGGGGCCGCCAGCCAGTTTGAAGCTTGTAGAGTCGCACCTTATGTCAACGTAGGTGCTTTAAGGATGCCATTTCAGCAGGCAAGTACAGCCTAGTTTCAAGCTGTTTTTAAATATGAAAATACCTGAATGTTTGCTTGAACTGTTGAACATCACCTGTCTCTGAGCCCAGATGTCAATGTCTGCATAGTTGGAGAATCATTTTGAGATGATATAGTGGACCCACTACCCTTTAAAAACCTATACGGTATTAAAGGCCTGAATGCCTAGTCCCTTCTGTCCTCATGGGAATCCCTGAAGGGGCCTGGGGGCAGTAACTGGTCCTTTAAAAATACACTAAAGATTGCCCTTAGAGAGAGAGGAAGGAAAAGCCTTTTGATTAAGATTTTGTCAAATCCAATACAGAGGTTAGTCCTAAGGTATTTCTAAGGCAACCCTCTAGATACTTTTCTAGGTATTTTCTACCTCTTAGTCACATTAAATAACTCTGACAGAAGAAAAATAAACACAAGTACTCCCAGCTCATACTTTTGTTTTTTCGTTCTTTTGTTTTTAAATCTGTTTCTGCAAACAAAGCTTCATCTCTGGTAAAGAGAGAAGTCTTGGTCTTCCCAGGGCTGCCCTGCCTTTGCAATCCCTTAGCCATAAAGAAACCTTTAAGAGTACATTTTAAAAGGACAGCCTGCAGCAATGATTTAATCCTGGGAAATCCCAGTGCTCTGAACTCCCCACTTTCCAAGCCTGAGGGCGAAATCCTTTCCCAACCAGTGTCTGACCTTCCCTATCCTCAGCCAGGACCCCTGCTTGGCATGCCTGTGATGTCATGAATTAGCTCTCAGTCTCCAGTGACTTGGACCGGGGAGACAGATAGGTGTGACCATGAATTGAGAGTCGGTGTTAGGGAGATCTTAGCTCTCTTGGTGCCACAGGACTCTGGCATCCTGATGCTTGGCTTTGGAAACAAGAGAGAATGACTGAAGAAAGAGGGAGGGGTGACTTTAAAAGGAGACCTTTACTACTCAAAAGGTAATCTTTGGGCCAGCAGCAACAACACCGTCTGGGAGATTGTTAGAAATTCAGAATCTCAGGCCCCAACCTAGACCTTGCGAATCAGAATCTGAATTTTAACGAGATCCCTGGGTAATTGTTATGGCAATAAAGGTTAGAAGTACCGACTCACAATTGTGCCTATTGTGGTGAAGATGGAGTAACTTCCCTGAATGACATTAAAAAGTTGCGTAGTTTGCTTGTTGATACTCCGTTGTTTTGGTAGTGGGGTAAGAGATGCATGGCAGCATCAAGAGAAGAGGGTAAGGGTCCTCACCCGCAGTCTTTCCAATATACCATTTCAGCCCAGTTCCCAGGGGAGACGGCCACATTCCTGCAGAAGGGGGTTCCCGGGGTCCGGGGAAATAAGCCTACCCTAAGCGAGTTTCGGAGACCCAGGGGACACTGGAGTATCCATGTGGAACCCCAGATTCAGCAACAGGCTGAGAAGGTCACTGTCGGAACAAGATGCACAGCCAAATGCCCTCTCCCCGTGCCCAAACACAACCCAACTCTCTCTCTGGCCAAGCTGGACGCCGTTAATGCTCTGTTTCTATTCTGTTGTCACCCTAGGATAGTCATTGCAACGTGACGCCCTTGTCCTTTCAGGTTCAGGCGCAGCTGCAGCTGGACAGCGCTGTGGCGCACGCGCACCACCACCTGCATCCGCACCTGGCCGCGCACGCGCCCTACATGATGTTCCCAGCACCGCCCTTCGGACTGCCGCTCGCCACGCTGGCCGCGGATTCGGCTTCCGCCGCCTCGGTAGTGGCGGCCGCAGCAGCCGCCAAGACCACCAGCAAGAACTCCAGCATCGCCGATCTCAGACTGAAAGCCAAAAAGCACGCCGCAGCCCTGGGTCTGTGACGCCAACGCCAGCACCAATGTCGCGCCTGTCCCGCGGCACTCAGCCTGCACGCCCTCCGCGCCCCGCTGCTTCTCCGTTACCCCTTTGAGACCTCGGGAGCCGGCCCTCTTCCCGCCTCACTGACCATCCCTCGTCCCCTATCGCATCTTGGACTCGGAAAGCCAGACTCCACGCAGGACCAGGGATCTCACGAGGCACGCAGGCTCCGTGGCTCCTGCCCGTTTTCCTACTCGAGGGCCTAGAATTGGGTTTTGTAGGAGCGGGTTTGGGGGAGTCTGGAGAGAGACTGGACAGGGGAGTGCTGGAACCGCGGAGTTTGGCTCACCGCAAAGCTGCAACGATGGACTCTTGCATAGAAAAAAAAATCTTGTTAACAATGAAAAAATGAGCAAACAAAAAAATCGAAAGACAAACGGGAGAGAAAAAGAGGAAGGGAACTTATTTCTTAACTGCTATTTGGCAGAAGCTGAAATTGGAGAACCAAGGAGCAAAAACAAATTTTAAAATTAAAGTATTTTATACATTTAAAAATATGGAAAAACAACCCAGACGATTCTCGAGAGACTGGGGGGAGTTACCAACTTAAATGTGTGTTTTTAAAAATGCGCTAAGAAGGCAAAGCAGAAAGAAGAGGTATACTTATTTAAAAAACTAAGATGAAAAAAGTGCGCAGCTGGGAAGTTCACAGGTTTTGAAACTGACCTTTTTCTGCGAAGTTCACGTTAACACGAGAAATTTGATGAGAGAGGCGGGCCTCCTTTTACGTTGAATCAGATGCTTTGAGTTTAAACCCACCATGTATGGAAGAGCAAGAAAAGAGAAAATATTAAAACGAGGAGAGAGAAAAATAATATTAACACAAAAAAATGCCACAGACAATGATTTCTCTGAGAAATTATTATGGCAAAACTGTCTGGACTGCTGACAGTAAATTCCGGTTTGCATGTTACTTGTATTCCATTGATGGTGTGTCTCCTCCCACCCCCTTATCTCCCATGCACTCACTCCATTTTCATCTTCACTATGAAAAACAATACCAAAAGTATCTGGAAATTGATATATATATATCCATATATATATATCATATATTTGCCATATATATATATATATATATATATATATATATATATATATATTTGCCCTGTCTTTGATCCTGGGGAACAAAAGAAAAAAGTCAGAAAGGGAAAAAATTACACTCATTGTCCTAAGAAGACAGAGGTGGGCAGAATATGTGGGGAAAGGAAAAAGAAAACAAGACCACCAAATGAAATAATGAAGGTACAGCGCCTCGCTGTGCCAGACACAGTAGGCGCTCAATCAGTATTAGTTCCCACCATTCCCCTTTTCTTGTGTTCCTTCTTGTTGGTTTCCTGAAGTCCTATTTGAAGACAGTGGTTTATTTCCCCCTCTCTATCCCGTCAAATTCACCTTAAATAACACCCAGCTAGATACAGGCACTAGGTTTGTGTAAGATATGTTGATACACACGAACAAAGTTTATTTTGACTATAATGTGTGGACTGACTTTCAACATTTGCATTTTATCTCACAAAGGTGTATCTATTCAAGTAACCTTTTTTTTTTGTTTGTTTGTTTCTTTTTTGTTTTTTTTTTTCTTTTGGTTGTTTGTTTCAATTCATGTAGCTATTTAAACTGGGATACCTTGGACTAAGCCAGTCTGTATCCCAATTCGCTAGCAAGCCTAAGTTTGTGGGGTTTTGTTTTTGTTTTTGTTTTACCTTCTAATTTACAAGAAAGAGGAAAAGCTCTTCTAACTGAACTTTGGTATGCGGTTGAGCTTTGTAACTATTTGTTCTCCATGAAAACAAAATTATTTATATTTGACATATTTTTTTCTAGTGTATTAAGTTATTTTAAACAAAAGATGTTATCTCATGACGTGTTGTCAGTACAAAATGTGTCGCCTCCAATTCTGTTAAACCTTTTAAATAAGTGCCAAGTTATTAATTGAAGACACTTTGCGATCAATTGAATGAAAATATCGTTTCATTTGATGGGGTTCGAGTCATCTTTGTTCCTGTTACTATTAAAATATCCGGGATAGTCTTTCCCTTTTGATTAATGCGTATCACTCTCTCGAATATACCAACTTGGAAAAGCGCTTGCCTCTGCTCTTACGTGCCGCAGTCAAGGGGCAGTAAGAAGGGTGGCTCTGTGGCTGTCGTTAGCGCTGAGCGCATTTCCGCCGGCCCCCTCCATTTTATCCACCCAGCATAGAAACAGGGTTATACCAAATTAATGAAAGAACAGATAAGAAGTAAAATAACATAGGATAGAGTAACTTCCTTCCCCAAGATGGACTCTCGTTATTCGTTTTGCTATAATTCCAGTCTTTATCTGGGGACACTTTTGGGAGGAAGGAAGGAGGGATCCTGCGGAGCGAAATCAACCTGGGTTTGGTATGGCATAATCGACAATCAGTCCCAGTTCGTTGACCCTCTCTGGAGCGGGGCAGGTGCTGACTTCGGAGCGGGAAAAGAGCCGCAAAGGCGGGCAGGCCAGGGCACTGTGGAGGGAGGATTCCCCATCTGACACTCCTGTTTAGGGTTGGCTGAAGCAGCTTCTTCATTGGTTAAATTTAGAAGGTGGAAGCCAGAATCGGGTTTAGGAAAAGCCTGGCCTTGAAAATAATGAGGAGCTCTCTCTCCCCATGTCGTGGCCCCCTTCTGGAAGAAATCCCACTAGTAAAGCCCAAAGGTGCTGCCTGTGTGGGGATAGTTGGAGACTTTGAAGACTCGGCCCTGACCATGTCCAAGGCAGGAACTTTCCTTCCCGCGCGGGCTCTTGTGATGACGGGACCTTCCGCAAAGACTGAAAGAGTCCTGAGCGTCCCCTGGGACCCCCCACCCTCGTGCTGGAGGGTGCGTAAAACCCCTGCCAAAGCCCCACATCCTCCAGCAGTGTTCCCCACCACCCCCACTTGGCCCTCTCCCAGGTCTTAGCTCGTATTCAAAGCTGTTCCTCAGCATAGACGTGGGCGATAGGTTTCTTTCTTTTAACTTTCAAAGACCACTGAACAGGATTTGGGCCGTATTCAGTGCGCAGGCCTTGCGGGTCTCCTGGTTGATGAACGTCGGTAGTTTTTAATAATAAACATCTGCCTGCGGGCATGGTACGCCCTGAAGCAGCCAGGCCATCCGCCGTGGTCCTGTGGCCTCCAGCGAGCTCCAGTCGGCGCCGGGGCCGGGGGTCCTAACAGGCAGGCTCCAAGCTCCAAACCCTAATCCTAACCCAGATCCCAACACGGGTTCGGACCCTGGAGACCCTGGAGCAGGGGAGATGGTGGCTCCCTCTCGGGGCCAGTCTGCCCCAAGCAGCGGAGCGCGGGGGAAGCCCGAGGTCAAAGGAGGCGGTGCGTCCAGGCCCTGCTGGCGGAGGCGCCGGGTATCGGTACAGAGGCTCAGTGACGCGGCGTGGGTGGGTCGGGAATGTCCCGTGCGATAGGAGCCAGGTGGGTTCGGCGCGGAGACCCGCGGGAGTCGGGCCGCGGCGGGAGCGCGGTAGGCGGAGAGGCCCGCGGAGGCAGCCAGGTCCGGCGAGAAAGGCCAAAATTTCTTGGCCCCATTCGCAGTGCTCCACTCGGGCACGGCCTGTGGGACCAGTGCATCCGGGGAGCTCGCGGCGCCCTTGCCTCCTCTTGCGTCTGCTCCCCCAAGACTAACGGAGGACAGAGGCCGCTTTCCTTGGCCCTGTGGAGTCTCGCCCTTCGGGTCCAGACTCCCGCAAGGCCTGCTCTCCCGGAATGCCAGTGTCCAAACTCTGGGGCAGGCGCCTCGGTGTGTGAACAAGAGTTCCAAACTCGTAGTTCCCCGAACCATCCCAAGAAGGGGTCTGAGGAATTCACTTTAAATTTAAATAAGGCCCAACATGCTTGTAGTTTGGGTCGAAACTCAATAATCCTAATATAATTAATAAAGGACACCCCCATCCTCTGCTCCCCAAATCTTTTGGGCATGCAAAACCTTCCCGAGTTGCAAAATCAATGACTGGGAAAAACTGAGTTAAAAGAGATTGTTTAAGACATCATTAGTGTTAAGGACCCTATGATACAAGAGACACAGTAAGATAGTAAGATCGGTGCCTTTGCTTGGAGCTGAACTGATGTACATCTATTTTGAGTTTTTCCCCAGATTTATAACTTTTTTGGGTCCTCAGATGGTAATACTTTAGTATAATGCAATGCTCAAATTTCGGAACTATTTTGATTTCTGAAAAATGCCTCTTTGGCTTCAGCGACATAGGATCCTGTTTTTTCTTCACAAATCAGTTTACATCATAAATTGCAAACATTTGCAATAAGATCTCAAGATTGTTTATTTTACATAACCTCAAGCACTTGACTATGTTAAACACCAGTACAGAAAATCTGTGAAATCAGTTTAATGTGTGTGAGGGAATTAAAGGATCACTCATTTTCATCACATAAACAAAGCATTTAAGATTGTTTTGATTGTCAGTCTCCCAATTTTTAGTCATACAACTGACTATTAATTTAAGAGTCATTCTGTGTAAAAATAATTACTGAGGTTATATCCTGCTTTAATTAAATATTTCTGGGCAGAAGAAAATGGTATTGTACATTGGGAAGTGGGGGATTGTTTTTAATATTATATTATTTTAGTTCAAACGGAAATAAAAGTCTGCAAATTCCAACGGGGAAAAAAGGCCTGAAATGGTTTCTTAATATGCCATTAAAACAGTTAGCCAAAATACATTAAAGCAATATCACAAACCCAGAAATAATAAATATGTCATTCTAATGAGAATGTTAACTTACAGATAATTTATTCAAGGTAGTTTTTACATTTCACATGGAATGTCTTATTATGACCCGCTTGATTACTGTGATGCTTGTTCTTCAAAATCTAATTTATATAGGCCTGCAATATACATAATTCATAACTCCTGTTGATATACGTATACACACCCCAAATTTTAAATCTTTACAGTATGTTTGGATGTTTACTAGCATGTTTTCAAGATGACGAAAATAAAAACATAAAAAGTGTTAAACATCATATTGAAAGCAAGTGCTTGCCCTGCCCTATGCCTGAAGGCAAAGTAGCTGAAAATGAAAAAATTAAAAAGGATTAGATAATTTTCAAGCTCAGGCATTGAGTGAGCACTGAAATATTTCAGACAAAAAAAAATCTTGTATAAGAAATCTGAAAATCCCAAGAAAGACTTACAGATGTGAGTGTATAACACTTCTGATGCCTAGACAATTTTTTTTTTGGTGTCTAATTCATGAAACAAAAAATCCTCGAGTCTCGGGGTATTTTGTTTTGGGTATTTTACATGTCAGTCAAGGTAACCATTACATATGCCTTCGGTGCAGGAAAGTTTAGTATAATACGCGGAGTTCTATTGGCATGAGGAAAGGTTTTAGAATATAATCAAATACATCAAATAGGGAGGAGTAAACATGCTTCTTTTCTTGCTGAACAACTCCTCATATGTCCTGAGTAAGGATCTTTGTAGACTCTTATTCAAGCAGAATAGTGTATGTTTAAGAGCACACACTGTGGAGCTATGCTTCACTGCTGGATTCAAATTTCACTGCTACTGTTTACCAGTCCTCTGATTTTGGACAAGTTAATCTCTCTGTCCCTCAGTTTCCTTATCTGTAAAATGTGGATAAAAATAGTGTCTATCTCATGGAATGGTTAGGAGGATTAAATGAGTTAATATTTGTAAAACCCTTAGAACAATGCCTTGCATATGTATACTAAGTACTAAATAATAATTACTTTTATTAAAAGGCCAATAGACATTGACCTTTGTAATAAAAACCTTAAAAGAAAAAAACAATAAAGTGTTGCAAGACAAGAAAAGCTTTCTCTTGTGGGCAAGAAGAAAACATTGCCTGTTAGTTTGTGATTCTGGCTAATTGCTTAGCCTGTGTGAGCCTCATCTAGAAGATGTGACAATTGTCACAATGTAGCAGTGTAGTTAGGAGGTTTACCTAGAAGAGCAATTTATAGGTTGTGTGTCTCTATATGCAAGATAGATAACATTGTTACTCTGCCATGCACAGTTAATAAGGTGAGATTTCAGGCATGGCACTTGTCCTCGAGGAGCTTACCATCTGGGCAAAACAGTTCATAAATACACATGATAGTGCTAGGAAGCATGTGCTAAATGCACTTGCTTAAAGGTATTAGGACACATAATCTGTGCATCTGAATGGCCATATAACACATGTGGGCCTGTTGCCCTGGTTTTGGAAACTAAACCTTCCCTGGAAATGAGTAGTCTTATAAAGGAATGGTGAAGCGACACCCAGAGGTTAAGAAGCGCACTTTGTTAGGACTAAATGTATACCATATGTTGTCGTGGTTTGTGTTCCATAGCACCATCTGCATTTTCCTTGGCTGCCCATGTTTACCGAGCATTAGCAGCAAAACGCCAAAAGATATAAAGGCTGCTGACCAAGGATCTTTAATAGCAGTTTGAAAACACATATAAAACAAAGAAAGGAATGTTTAATTATTACTATAGGGACCTGTAAGATGAACAACTGAGTTACAATTACAGAGTAAATTAAGAAGGACTTCTTTCTAATGTCTAAATTTAGGTATATCACTAATATTGTCCCATATTTTATATAATATCTATGAAGAGCCAAGTACTTTTTATACATCTTTATTTGGGATGTGTTGTCATAGTATACGGCTAATTTTTAGAGGCAGATATTCTTGACTTCAAATCTTTGCTATACCAACTATTAGATGTAAAGTTTTAGGTCATTTCTTAGCCTCCTAAAATCTATGACCTCTTAGTGTCCTGCAGCACACACCTTGCCAATTATTGTGAGGATCAAATAAAAATAAGTTATGTAAGGTGCCTGGTACATAACAGGTTTCAACAAATGTACATCTCCTTTCTACTTCCATTATTTACCTTTTAAACTACTGTAACATAGAGAGGATTTTTAATTTACCTTTTTGTGATTAGAAGCAGTTTTGAAAAACTTTGGGAGGTGGTGTGCACTTTAATTCCAATCTCTTATTGTAAGTATTGATAATGTGTGTTTATATTGTGTGCACTGGAGTTTGGAACAAAGCTCTCTTCAAATCTTGCAAAAATTTTTAGAGATTTTGAGGGACTGTGATTTTAGATCTGCCCCTTTGTGTAGAACAGAAAGGACTCTATCTTTCCCCCCGATAACTTGAGGACGTTCTTAATGTGCAGGTTACCCAGAGTCTCTGACCTTCAGTCCTCTCTATTCTGGAATGTCAGCATACCCATGGAGCCCTGGCATTAACTCTCTAGTCACTTTGATATTAGATTGATTGTCCTTCTGTTGCATATTTATTGAATACATTTCTATGCTTCCGTGGAAAGGAAGAATAAAATAAACTACCCTTAAAAATGACTTCAAAAAAGTCTATTAGTCTATCCAAATTTTCAGTACTTGTGCTACATTGTTTTGTATTATGTTTACTGGCATTACTGGCTTAAAATGTAATTATCTGTCTTGTGTGCAATATATTTATTTACTGAAATTCTCACTTGTCAGCAGTTGTGTTTCTTTTAAGGCTTACATAATTTCCATTAAAATTAGTCTTGCCCAGTGCTTGCCTAAAAGGGCCCAGGATTCTCCCTGGGTGAGTTTCAGTTCTAGACTTCCTTTAAAAACTTTTTAGACAGGTGAGATTAGGTAAGAATAGCCATCAAAGGAAGCTTTGGAAAGAAAAAGGCAGGTCCTCTGATTTGCCTTGGTAGTAACAGAGAAGTGTGTTAGACAAAATAATGCCCCCTCCAAAGATATCCACATCCTGATCCCTGTAACCTGTAAATATGTTGGCTTACATGACAAAGGGGGATTAAGTTTGCAAGTCAGTTGACCTTAAAATAGGGAATGTATCCTGGATTATTTGGGTGCATCCCCTGTAATTACGTGGGTACTTAAAAGAGGGAGGCCAAAGAGGAAAGTCTCAGAGAGATGTGACTAAGGAAGAATGTTCAGAGAGATGCAAAGTTTCTGGCTTTGAAGCTGGAGGAGGCAGGGAGTGCAAGTGGCCTCTAGAAGATGAAAAAGGTAAGGCAAGAAATTCACCCAGAGTGTGCAGAAGGAATGCAGCCCTTTCTATACCGTGATTTTAGTACAGTGAAACTTGTGTAGGAATTCTAGGCTACAGAACTGCAAAATAATCAAGTTGTATTGTTTTAAGACACTAAATTTATGATAATGTGTGGTAGCAGCAATAGAAAACAAATGTAGGCAGTTTCTGAATTGTTTATATGTGTAAGAGCTTCTTGTCATTTTTTAATGCCAGGGGACCTTCTAAGTGTTCAGTAGCAAGAGTCCCCTCAAAACTCAGGGCCAAGATATTTAGCCATACCCTCGAGTACGCTGTTACTCAGCCATACAGATTTCTACATGCCATATAGCAGAATTCCCACAAATCTCTCATTATAAAATGAAGCCTCCTATAGAGGAAATCTGCAAAATTATGTATATTCTTTTATAAAAAGTGAGTCGGCAATGGAAATCTTTGTCTTGTTTTATTCTCTTTGTTCTTATTCCTTCTTTGTCATCTTCTGCTTATTATTATTTACCTTTTTTGGTATTTAATATAAAGAAAAGGACTGTTAGTTTCAAGCTCTGAAGTTCTTTGCTAATGCACTGACTGAAAGGGAACAGCCTGGGCAATTGAGCTTGTCTGTCAAGTTGGTCAAGGTGGAGAGTAATGTGGTCTGGGGTTCCCAGAGCCCATTGGACCTTTGACCTTTTCTGTTGAGACTATTGATCTAGGTTAATAGTCAGTACCAGTTATGCTGTTGGAAGGGTTGTGTACCTGTATGTGATTCCTCATTGAGTACAAATAAGGCTCTGACTAACTCAGAGGGTAATTGGTCCTTTTTGTAGTTTTCCAAGATCAGGGTGGGGAATTAGAATAGATAGGCTTTGACAGGCAAGGTGAAGATTCATTTTTGGAATGTCTGCCATTGTATCAGTGACAAAACAATGGATCTGCACACTGAGTTGATTATCTCTTTCATACCATGAACTCTGTTCACCAGAGAGCTGCTCATAGAATCAAGTGGGGTTAGGAATTTCTGGATAACATGATAACTCCTGAGATTAGTGGCACAGTGAGATGGGTTTAGCCTTGTCTCACTCCCTAATCCCATCCTCTAGCCCCACACTACCCCAGCCATCCCATCATCCCATGCTTCTCTTCCTACCTAATTGGGTACAGAATGAGAAAAACAGTAAGTAGGTTTGTGGACTGAATATATAAAAAGGCATGACTATGCTCTTTGACTGAAATATGGTCCAACCAGAGAGGGAAGGAAAGTCTCCCAAATAGTGTCAATTTCTATGACCCTCTCCTTCATAGCTCTTCACTACTTAAAGGAGAAGTTTTCTTTTTCTACCCACCCCATGGAAAGCTCTCTTTTTTTTTTTTTTTTTGAGACAGAATCTCGCTGTCGCCCAGGCTGGAGTGCAGTGGCGTGATCTCGGCTCACTGCAGGCTCCTCCTCCTGGGGTTCACGCCATTCTCCTGCCTCAGCCTCCCGCGTAGCTGGGACTATGGGCGCCAGCCACCTCGCCTGGCTAATTTTTTGTATTTTTGTCTTGAGCCACTTCCCATTTCTCCCAGATCATCCTTCTGTCTTCCTTCTCTCTCCCAAGTTACTCATTCTAGATGCCTAGCTGCACATAACTCATTTATTTATTTATGAAACAGATATTTATTAAATACCTACTGGGTGCTTAGACTCTTTTCCTTCTTCTGCTTTAACTGTCAGACTATCCTTTTCTGACTTCCCTTGAGGTCTGTCATTGTTGGAGGCAGTGGTAGCTGAAAGGCAGGGAAGGACATGGTTGGCATGGGATGGGGTTGGAAGGCAGAGGAAGTTGGAAGTGTAGAAAGAATAAAGAAAAGAAGACAATCAGGTAGGCTAAACTTTGGAGACTCCTACTCACCAGACCCTGTGTTATCTAAATATTAAAAGCTGCAAAAGCTACATTAGTAAAGAATAATCCTCAGAATGATTTGGAATGCTTCTGCCTTCTTCACAGAAGATATTAATTTCTCATGGCCGAGTACAAGGTATCTTTCAAAAGAGTACTGATCATTGACAAAGCACTTGGTCACCCAAGAGCTCTGATGGAGATGTACAAAGAGATTAATGTTGTTTTCATGCCTGTTAACACCACATTTATTCTGCAGTCCATGGATTAAGGAATATTTTTTGCTTTTAAGTTTTATTATTTAAGAAATACATTTTGTAAGGCTATAGCTATGATAGACAATGATTCCTCTGATGGATCTGGGCAAAGTTAACTGAAAACCTTGTGGAAAGGATTTACCATTCTAGATGCCATTAAGAACATTCCTGATTCATGACAGGTCAAAATATCAACACTAACAGGAGTTTGGAAGAAGTTGATTCTAACCCTCATGGATGACTGTGAGGGGCTGAAGACTTCAGTGGAGGAAGTCACTGCAGATGTGCTAGAAATAGTAAGATAACTAGAATTAGAAGTGGAGCCTCAAGATATGACTGAATGTATGCAATCTCATAATTAATTTGATGGATAAGGAGTTGTTTCTTATGGATGACCAAAAGAAATAATTTCTTGAGATGGAATTTATTCCTGTTGAAGATACTATGAACATTCTTGAAGTGACAATAAGGGATTTAGAATGCTATCCAACAGCATCATGTGCTACAGAGAAATTTTTTGTGAAAGGAAGGGTCACCTGATGTGGAAAACTTCATTGTTGTCTTATTTTAAGAAATTGCCACAGCAACCTCAACCACCTTCAGTAACCACCACCTTTATCAGTCAGCAGCCATCAATATACAGGCAAGGCCCTTCGTCGGCAAAATGGTTATGACTCACTAAAGGCTCAGATGATCATTAGCATTTTTAGCAAAAAAGGTATTTTTTGATTAAGGTATGTACATCCTTGTTTTAGACATAATGCAATTGTAGTCTTAGATTACAGTATAGTGTAAACATAACTTTATATGCACTAGGAAATAAAGCAATTCATATGACTCATGTATCATGATACTTTATTGTGGTCATCTGGAACTGAACACACAATATCTTTAACTATGCCTGTAGTAGGGATAGATATATAATAGGTTGTCATAAATGTTAGTGGAATGAATAAGACTGAAATGGATATGTCTAGTATTTTTTAAAGATAATTTTAGTAGAGAGAAATCTTAGCTCTCTGAGGGTGGATTTAGTGTTGGAACTAGCCAAAGGCTGTTGGCCTTAAGTCTGATGAAGAAGCTAGGGAGTATAATTTTATTATTATTATTATTATTACAAACGAAGTGTGGGACAAAAATTAAGCATGGTTGTTTTGTGATAAGACACATTTTCTTATATGGCTCATAAAGGTTTCTAAAGTTTACTGGCACTTACTTGCTTGAGGCAATTTCAAAGATGAATTCCCCAGAAACATTTTAAACTGTGACAGTATTGCTGGACTGTGTTTGGTTTCTCAGGGTGACTACTTTGAAAAACAAGGTTTATTTGTATCTGTAAGTTCTGGTATCTATGTTAAAAAAAATAAGAATCATTATTTTATTGTCACATCTTATTTTCTGTAGTGAATTTTTACAAGCTAAATTTCACTTTATTTCCTGTGCATTTAACTCTTCTCTCTAACACTATCATTTTCAATTCTCTCCTTTGTAAGCATTGTCTCCCAATGCAGCAGCATTTCAAAATTCTATTAAAATTGTTTATTTTAAGAAGCTATTCATAAGACCATTAACTAAAACCAGATTTAACACCAATTCCAGTGGCTGATCTCTACCCCAAGTGGATATATAGCCATTTGTTAAGATCTTTTGTTTACTGATTTTCAGGCAGTTTTCAATCTGTGTGACACTGATCAGATCCAAGCCAATTTGGACTAATTTTTCAAGTCACTTTTCATGAGGCAGTGCATCGAATGCTTTACCAAGTCCAAATGTGTAACATCTGCTCTCCTTTCCCTGATAATTTTACAGCTCTCTCAAGAAGTCAACCACTTTATCAACCATGGAATGTGTTTTATAAGCCTCCATTATTATTGCCCATGATTCTGTCACCTTTTAGAATTTCCCCTCTCAACTTTATTTGCCAGGTCTTGATAAAATACTTATTAGTTAGGCATCTGATACAATTATTCTTCTAGTGGTAACACTTTGTGACTCTAGGTTCACTTGGATTAGATCTATATATAACCTTTTCAGTTATTATGATTTAAAAGATGTAAGCAATAAAATCTGTGTTAGTCATTTTTGTTCATATCCTGGGAGAGATGTTATTCTGACTTGCTGATTGGTATATGTTTTGAGGTTTGAAGTGTTCACTTACCTGCTCTTTGTCATTAGCTGTTTTTTTCTCTAGGTGCATTTCACAGTTCCCTATCTTTACCATATGTTAAATGGATATTATGCTTGCAACAGCATGCCTACAGAACAGTAAAATGTCTGTGCATGTACAGTAAGTTGACTCATGTAATCTTTGGATACAGCTTAAGCTTTTGATGCTTCTGTCATCTCACTGATATAGATGAGCTGTGCTTACTAATATTTGCTTTCAAGGGTTTGGGGAGGTAATTTCTGTGCACAGAAACTGAGAAAAGTTTTCTTCATAATTAATTTTTGAGGCAAATTCAAAAAGCTTCCATGAAAACGATGCATTTTTAAAAAATGATTTAGGCCCTGAGGTCATTGTGTTTACTAATGGAGTTTACTTAATTGAATAAATATGAAGATCTTACATTGAGTACCTTTGCATTGATTAAATGTAGTGATATTTTATTAATTTTTACACATCAGTTACTCAGTTAACAAGCTGTCTAAGAATATAATTGACATATTTGGTAGAGTCATGTAAATTAAAACATTGGTTATGATTTATCAAGGATTACCCAAGTATTAATTACCCGACAGCTAGAACACTGCTTTTGACATTCTTAAATTTCCTTTGGTTAATCTTATATATATTATAGATTAGTCAGTTTCTCCCTCTTTATATAAAATATTTAGCTTTTGATGTGTTTTGACATATGGTAAACTTCAATAAGAAGGCAGACATTTTCAGTTTTGAGAAATGTAAATATATCATTCTGTAAGAATTCCAAAATGTTGGCTATGGGACAATGGAAACCACATGTAGTTTTTCTGCAAATCTCACTATACAAGTAACTGCTTTCAACACATCTTTTCTGTCTCCAGTTTTAATACCAACTACTTGATTAAATGTCAAATGGAGCAAAGGCCATTTATGTCAGGCATCAGTAATATGCATATTGTTTCCAAAGGATGAAAAACATTTAATTTTGAATATTTGCCACTCTTTTGTGGCTCAGTGTAATATGCCGTATTCCCAATACTGCCTATTTATAATCTGAAATTTTAGAGTTGGGGATTTATCAGCTGAATAAAAGCTATGATGTTTTGTTTTTAACTGCTAAATGGCAACTTTACATTCTTTCTATTAGATCCATAATTTAGAATATAAATTTTGGAGATATGTTCAAAGTAGTGTTTTTTCTAAAATCAAGATTAGGTTTTTTTTTTTCTGTTATCAATGTTATGTTTGTAAATATTATAAATGTTCTGTTCTTTAATTATAACTACTCACGAATTACAATAGCACTTCTATTTCTATATATAAAAGAAACTTCCAGCATTTTAAATGTGAATGGAAGAAATTCACATTTATATATGGCATATGCATTTTTAAGCTTAAATTTTAATTTCACTTAAAAGGTAAGTCTGAATCTAGAAAGCTGTTCCTAAGGATAAATGATTCAAACTTAGTAGAATATACCTTATAAATGAATGTATGTGTCTTTGGAATCAATGATTCTAAGTCAAGAAATGGTATTCTGTCAGAGGTGAAACAGAGATACTCACGGAGTAAACATGTTTAGGTTTTGCTTGCTTTGTATAAATATTTAAAATGATGCATCAATATATATTAAATGAAGAAGAGTGCATTATTCTTTTTGCATGAGGAAAATCAGAAGTCTGCAGTTTTCTTTTTATAAAAATATGGCAATTCTGTTTCTCAACATGCCAATCATACACATGAAAGTTTTTTTAAAAGGTCAATATTCTCTGTAGTTCCAAGTTTCTCAATTTATATCGATACATTTTGGTTGCTATGTTGTCATTTACAGATATCATATGTGTTGTTTAAAATTTTCTTTCTGCTAAATTCATGAATCATTCATATAAACATGCAAATATTAAAATAATATATTCCCTTCTAACATGTGACTTTTGTATTTCTGAGACTTCAGAATTTTTTCCTCATTAATTATGAGGTAAAGTACATTAAAAGATGCATTGTAGAAGCATTGTGAACAGATGTGGTCAAATGAGAAGGTTGAATATGGAGTAAGAGCTTTCAGGTTTTTAAGTAAAAAAATAAGTGAAAATCGGTGTCACAAAAAATTTGCATCTTTATAATAAAAAAGGACAATCTCAAGATAAAATAATATCTAATTTCATGCATTTTTTCCCTCCATCCTTCATGCATTTTTAAAACATTGGAGGATTCTTTCTAAACCCTGGATGAGCAAGGACTCTGTTCTAATGACTTCAACAGGCAAATTCACCCACTGCTGGATTATTCTTCATCAGAATGTTTGTCTAGGATCCAGACAAATTATATCCTCTATTTGATGTTAGCCGATTGCTGTTTATTTTAATATCCTCATACAATGTGAGAGATTTGTTAACTTCTGTTTTTATTGCTTTTATTTATCTATGGTGGTGGCAGGAGGTAGGGTTGGGGTGGGACCATGGTGTGAAACGGGGATGGCATTTTTGTGTTTTGAGCTGAGTAATTTGGGACTTTTTGCCTTCATGCTTTTCAAAATATAAGTTTTGTCAAAATGCCAGCTCCAATCACAACACTGAAGAAAGCAGTTTGTAAATTATTAAAACTTTATTTTTTCTAGACGTTTTGTAAGCTGTATGTTGCTACAAAAGGTTAGGTGATATCTGTATGTTAGAAGACCCAAGTGTTGATCAAATCTAAGAAAAATATTTTCAAATAGAATATGCAAAATAAAAATGACAGTAAATTTTAGGCTACCTTGTACCCTTTTAAAATGGACCCACATTATGTGGGTATTGTTTACAGATTGTCATACCAATCTTCATATAATTGATTTTTTAATGTATTGTTTTTACATATTGCAAAATTCCTAATTATTTGGTTTTAAGCTGGTCACTTTGAGAATAATTATTCTTTCTGTTCTAGGTAAAGACAGTATCTGAATTGAACTGGTTGAAATAAAGGGAAACAAAATTTCAGTTCTTTTCCTATAGTTTTAATTTCCTTTGTTATGTTTATAATTATATTAATTTTTTTTAATTTTTAAAGTTTTGTTACAATGTAAGACTATGAAAAAGGCACGAAATTCTTTCATAGATTTAAAAAACAATCTGATCAGGCCAGGCGCAGTGGCTCACACCTGTAATCCCAGCACTTTAGGAGGCCAAGGCAGGTGGATCACAAGGTCAAGAGATCAAGACCATCGTGGCCAACATGGTGAAACCGTGTCTCTACTAAAAATACAAAAATTAGCTGGGCGTGGTGGCATGCATCTGTAGTCCCAGCTACTTGGGACACTGAAGCAGGAGAATTGCTTGAACCCGGGAGGCAGAGGTTGCAGTGAGCTGAGATCGCACCACTGCACTCCAGCCTGGGTGACAGAGTGAGACTCCATCTGGAAAACAACAACAACAACACAAAAAAACAAAACAATCTAATCAATATTCAGATTAAAAATTTTACAAATATTGAAATTGGCCAGGCACAGTGATTCATGCCTGTAATCCTAGCACTTTGGGAGGCCGAGGCAGGTGGATCACCTTAGGTCAGGAGTTCGAGACCAGCCTGGCCAACATGACAAAACCCTGTCTCTACTAAAAATACAAAAATTAGCTGGGCATGGTGGCTCATGCCTATAATGCCAGCTATGTGGGAGGCTGAGGCAGGAGAATCACTTGAACCCAGGAGGCAGAGGTTGCAGTGAGCCAAGATAGTGCCATTGCACTCCAGCCTATGCTACAGAGTGAGACTCTGTCTCAAAATATATGTATATAAATTAAATTAGTTTTCCTAAGATATTTTATAGATATTGTCTTTATTTAAATGCAAATAAGATAACTAGGCTTGGGGTTATTTTAAAAGTAGTTTTTTGAAATGTGTAGTTCATAATAATACACTTTTTTAGTTGTAAAGTTGTAAGGATCTCTCTAGTCAGCAACGTTAAACCTATTTCCATTTATAATTAAATTACATTTCATTCACTAAATCATCAACATTCAAAACATATGCAATGATACAGAGCGTTATATATGTGCATGTATCTGTACAGGTGCATATCAAGCATAAAAGAAAAGATGAAATTCAAATCAATCAAAAGTAGACAGTTCAGTTATTGACCCTGCTCCTCACTATGTCATGCTCAGGCATTTACCAGCAGAATTAGTAAGGTTTCCACAACAAAGTGCAGAGCAAGCTCTATTATTAATCTGCCGAAATAGGGAATGCCACAGAGTTGTAGTTTTATGCAGAGAGAGGAGGCCTTCCAGTCATTTTGGAAGATTCTGCAGCTTGGTGGGAATGACCCCACCTCGAGCTCAGACTGCTATCCGGTGTTTTAACCAAATCACTTTGCTCTTATTCTTGTCTTGAAACTTGAGCTTAGAATATTCATTTATCCACAAGCGTGCAGTGAGACATAACTAACAGTACTGTGCATGGCATGTCTGAAGCACTCTCACTTCTACAGGTAGTGCTATGTGACATCCTTTTCTGAGGTGTTCTGAATACCAGCTATTTAGATTTTGGTGACCACTTATAAAACTCCTGAGAGAAGGGAACATTGCTTAGGCTTCTCTGAAACCCGGTCATTACTTTTCTCTTTCTTTCTCTTCCTTTCTTTCCCTTTCCCTCCTTCCCTTCTCCTCATCCTCACTTCATCTTTACCCCCTTATATATTTTATTCATAGCTATTTTAAAAGAATTTTTATTTCTGTGGCATAATTTTGGATAAAATAATAGGTGAAGAGTACCAACATTTTCTTCTTCTTCCTCTCCTCCCCCTCCCCCTCCTCCTCCTCCTCCTTCTTCTTCTTCCTCTTCTTCTTTCTTTTTTTGAGACAGGATCTTGCTCTGTCACCCAAGCTAGAATGCAGCAAGTGGCACAATCATGGCTCACTGCAACCTCGACCTCCCAGGTTCAATCTTTCTGCCTCAGTCTCCTGAGTAGCCAAGACTACAGGCCTGTACCACCACACTCAGCTACTTTTTGAAAAAAATTTTTCATAGAGATGGAGTCTCACTATGTCGCCCAGGCTGGTCTCAAACTCCTGGCCTCAAGTAGTCCTCCTGCCTTGGCCTCCCAAAGTGCTGGGATTATAGATGTGAGCCGCCACACCTGGCCCAATGTTCTTCTTTTGAAACTTGGTAAAGATTATTTTTAATTTTCCAATAAGACTCCAATCTAAAAGTGTACAGCATGACTTTATTCAGAATACTTAAATGTAAGAACTGGAAGGAAACTTAGCAGTCATCTAGTCCAATATCTTCCATTGTGCAAGGAATGAAGCTTGTCCAGGCAGATTTTCCTAAATCAAGAGAAGCTGAATGCGTTCAAGAATGATTTTTGTTTCTAATAATAATAATAAGAATAATTTTTTCATTATAAAAGCAATACATGTTCATTGTAAAAAATTTAGGAAGTACTGATTTTAAAAACTCCCCCGTTAGAATCCTATTATCTGGAGAAACCACTTTTAACATTTTAATATATATTTTTCTTGTCTCTTTTTTCTATACCTATATGCATGCATTTTTATGATATTGGAACCATGTAGTCTTTACTGTTTTTCAATACAGTTAGTAGTTTTCTAAAGATGAAACAGGGGCGTTGTAAAATATTCCAACAGTACAGAAAAGTAAAAAGAAGAAAGTAAAACTATCACTTTAATTCTCACTGTCCAGAGATAATCACTGGCCAAAATATTAAGACAGTCATGAGGTATGCTAAAAAATGACTAGTTAATAATATTAATAACACAGTTCTAGATATTCATCAATGTATATATACTCATAAAGATTTACATATATATTGATGTTTGGTAATATGCTTTTTTACTCAGTAACATGTAGATTAACTTCCATGTCAATAAACAGGTCAATGTGACAATTTTGCTGACTATATCATATTTTATTATACAGATATACCTTGATAGATTAAAAATTTGTATTGTTAATATTTATATTATTACCAAATTTTCTCCTATATTTAGTGCTATAATAAGCTTTTTATAGCTAACTTTTTGTTTATATCCTTGATTAGTTTCTTATATCAGATCCCTAGAAATAGCGTTGCTGGGTGAAAAGCTGTATGTGTTTACACTTCTACTGCATAAGAGTCTATTTCCCTATAAATCTTACCAACATTTGAATGTTATAAAGTAATATATGCACCATTACTGTTTTATTTTGCATTTACTTTCTAGCAAGAGCAAACACGTTCCAACTATGTATTGACCATTTCTTATTTTTCTGTTGTGAATTGCCTGTTAGTGTCATTGCTGATTTTAAAATTCAGATATTCACTATTATGTATTAAATGTATTAATACATTTTTGTCCTATATGTGGCATCTTCTTTAGTAATTTTCATTTTACTTTTAAGTTTTGTACACATTTAGCACACATTGTTTTGTACACATTCTTTTCGTGTGAATAGAGAAGTTTTGAAGTTGTAAGTAGTCAATTATATCAATATTTTACTTTATAATTATTGTTTTAAAAATCATTCTTAGAAAATCCTTTCTTACAGAAATACCATGTATTCATTTATATTTTCTCCTAGTGCTTTTCTCATTTATTTAATATATCTAGATTTCATTTTCCTGTAAAAAGTGAGCTAAAATTCAACTTAGTTTTTTTCAACAACTCTTACTATATTGACTTGTCATAGATACCTTTCATACATAAAACTTTTGATTTTTGTTTTTGTGTAGTTAAAATTATGATTTTTTTCTTTGTGTATGTGTGTGTGGTTTTTTTGTTTTGTTTTGTTTTGTTTTTTGAAATGGAGTCTCGCTCTGTTGCTCAGGCTGGAGTGCAGGGTGGTGATCTTAGCTCACTACAACCTCTGCCCCAGGATTCAAGCGATTCTTGTACCTCCGCCTCCTGAATAGCTGGGATTACAGGTGTGCGGCAACATGCCTGGCTAATTTTTGTATTTTTTTTTTTTTTTTAAGTACAGACAGCATTTCACCATGTTGGCCAGGCTGATCTTGAAATTCTGACCTCAAGTGATCCACCCACATCAGCCTCTCAAACTTCTGGAATTACAGATGTGAGCCACCATGCCTGGCCAAATGGTTTTCATCATTAGTGCTATAGATTATAAAGGCTTTCTACCCCAAGAGTATATGTTTAAGACTACACACATACGCACACACACACACACACACACACGTCTATATATTTTATGGTATATTTATGTTTCCATTTTTAATATTGAAATCATGAGTTTATCTAAAAATAATTTTGATGTATTATGTGAAATAAAGATCTAACACCATTTTTCCCTAAATGTTCTTATACCAATATAATTTATCAAATAATTCATATTTTGCAACTGACTTTTTATTTTGTATTTTTAGTAGTGCTTTTAATACATTGAGACTCACCAACCAGTTGTTGAACCTCATATATCTGAGCCTGCACAAGGGAGAGATACCTTTTAGTGTCAGGTATAGAGGAAGCTTCCAGGGACTATGTTGCACTTTCTGACCTGCTCAGGTTCTTTGTCAGAGTTATGTTACTGTCAATGCCTGTGGCTGAAGCCATCTTAAGTCTACCAGCTTAGTCACCCCAACATTCTCAGGGAAGGCAGGACTTTGTACTCTCCAGCCGCAGGAGAGACTCATGAGACACCTGAATTCATTGGGGGTCTTTAGTCTCTCCTCTCTGGCTGACTGGCATTGGCGAGGACATGACCCATCTTTAGCCAAGAGGACCTGAGCTATATTCTGTTGGTGGCATACAGAGAAAGTTTACTTTGCTCATGGACATTATTGGTCTCATGTGATAATCTTAATTGTGTAATCCTCCAAAATTCTGCCCCTTTCCCCCTGACTCTCCTGGACTTCTAAAGGAAGCACCACTAATTTTAAATTTAAATGTTAACTTTATTTCATACTCTTTCAGCTATCTGAACATATTTCTAGATGTTCTGTTCTATTTATCTTTCTGTTTATTCTTCTACTAGTTCCATGCTTTAAACATTGTGGTAGCTTTATAATTCACTTACAATCTTATAGCTTTCATATAGTTTTCAGTTTTTGGACATAAGTTGGAACTACATTATTCTTTAATTTCCATTTCTTTGTCTAGTAATGATTTGGAGCAGCTTTTAATGCTTGTTGAACATTCGGATTTACTTTCCTGTGAATTTCCTACACCCTTTATCTGTCAGCTGCTTTGCAGATAGTTTTGCAACTCTATTATTTCTCTTTTTTTCTTTTCTTTCTTTCTTTCTTTTTTTTTTTTTTAGATGGAGTCTCACTCTGTTGCTCAGACTGGAGTGCAATGGCGCGATCTTGGCTGACTGCGAACTCCACCTCCCGGTTTCAAGCAATTCCCCTGCCTCAGCCTCCTGAGTAGCTGGGATTACAGGCACACGCCACCACACCCAGCTGATTTTTGTACTTTTAGTAGAGACAGGGTTTCACCATGTTGGCCAGGCTAGTCTCGAACTCCTGGCTTCAAGTGATTTGCCCGCCTTGGCCTCCCAAAATGTTGGGATTACAGGCTTGAACCACCGCGCCCGGCATTTTTTTTTTTTTTTTTTTTTTTTTTGAGACAGAGTCTCACTCTGTGGCCCAGACTGGACTGCAGTGGTGTGATCTCAGCTCACTACAACTTTCACCTCCCAGGTTCAAGCGATTCTCCTGCCTCAGCCTGCTGAGTAGCTGGGACTGCAGATGTGCACCACCATGCCTGGCTAATTTTTCTATTTTTTAGTAGGGATGGGGTTTTGCCACATTGCCCAGGCTGGTCTTGAACTCCTGAGCTCAAGTGATCTGCCCGCCTTGGCCTCCCAAAGTGCTGGGATTACAGGCATGAGCCACCATGCCTGGCATCAACATTATTATTTTTTATTTATGATATCTTTTACTATATACAAATGTTTAATTAAAAACAAATATATGTACAAGGTCTATCTTAATTTTATAGCTTCTAGGTTTTCTGTCTTAGTTAATAGGGCTCCCGATACCTAGCTAGGTTGGAGATATAGGAGAGGGGTTTAGCCATTAACCATTTTTGTCAAGATTCCTGAGAAGGCTAGGGAGGGTGGGGGTGAGACCTGAAGCACAGAGAGAGGGATGCTTGGCCACTAGTAAGAGGTATGAAACAGGAGAGGGGTGGGTGCAGATACAAGTGGGCTTGTGGATGTGATGACAAGATGTTCAGGTAACTTCCACCTGCTGGAAGTTGGGGTGAGGTGAGCTGCTAAGAGCTAATGGTGCTGGGTGAGCCATCTGAGAAGCAGAAGAAGGCTTGCATAGTTGTGGGGTGCTGGAGAGAGAGCTGACTGGAAACTCAGCAGTCACTAGAGAGCCTTGCACTTCCTTATATGAGAGGCAAAATCCTGAGGTTTGGGTAGCGTACTTTGAATTATTTTAGGTAAAATCCGGGTAGAGCTATCTATAAACAGTTTATAGACCACCTCTAGTGTAAACTTTGAATAGTCACATGAAAAACAACACAAAACAAAACTTTTGAAGGGTAGACTGGTTCTCCTGTACCATGGTGTAAACTGAAAGTCAATGTCCACTAAAAGAAAAATATGGATATAACCATATACTCCTTAAGCATATGAGACATATACAATTCAAATATACAAAGCAAATATATTAGAGTTTTTTCCTCTATACTATTACCAAATGATTTTTTGGGACAGGTGCTGGGCTAGAGGGAAAAGACCATGGAGTTTGGAGTCAGGGAGTTTTGGCTTAATCTAGCATTACTGATGACCAAAATGGTCACTGGAAAGTCACTATCACTGGGTGTATTAGGCCAATCTTGCATTTCTGTAAATAAATACCTGAGACTGGACAATTTATAAGAAAAGAGGTTTAATTGGCTCATGGTTCTACAGGCTACAGAGGAAGTATGCTGGCACCTGCTTCGGGGAGGCCTCAGGGAACTTTTACTTATGGCAGAAGGCAAAGCCGGAGCAGGCACTTTACATGGCAGAAGCAAGAGCAAGAGAGCAAGGGGGGAGGTGCTGTACACTTTTAAACTATGAGACCTCACAAGAACATACTATCACCAGAACAGTACCAAAGCAGAGGGTGCTAAATCATTCATTAGAAATCTGCGCCCATAATCAAATCACCTCCCACCAGGCCCCACCTCCAACACTGGGGATTATACTTCAACATGAGACTTGAGCAGGGACACCCATCCAAACTACATCACTGGGCTTCAGTTTTCTCATCTTTAAGCTAATAAAATCTACCTGAATTGTGTTGCTGTGAGGATTAAGTAAAGTGATATATATAAAAGATCTAGATTCGTGCATGGCATATATTGTGTGCTCAGAGGAATCCTTTTACTTATTCTTGATTTATAGGATCTACAAGATTTATTTACAGGGCTCCCCTGAATGATCTCTTCTTGCTTGTCCAATCAACCCATAAACATTTATCTAACACTAGTCATCTGGTGCTTAGTCCTTTGCTAGGAACCAAGGAAACAAAGAAAAATGAGCCATAGTCTTTGCCCTGGAGCTCTTTGTTCTGCACTTAAAATATGTTTTCATGTAAGAGTTTTACAAACACATTTCCTGAGTCTGCTAGTTGCTTAACTAAATTGACTACGTAATATTCTAGCCCAGTGGCTAATATATCAGAGGCACCTACTGTATCTTATTTTTCTTATCCTTTTCCCCCAAAGTAAAATATAGGCAATAGCAGTTTTATAACCAATTGATGTAAGGAAATCTGATGTATGATTCAGAATTACAAGTAGCATATGATAGGTATGGAAAGGAACCATTGACAGCATAACCATCTTAGGAAAGCTGACCTTTGGGCATGGACTTCCAAGATTGGTTGCCTGTTTTGCCCTAAATAGAATCCCTGACATGGTCTAAAAGTTCCACATCCTTTTGTGACCCTGTCTGTGTTTCCTGTGGTTTTGCCTCAGGGATATCCTTTTCATTTCTGAGGGCTGAATTTCTGACACTCATATCTGATTTAGATTTCTCAAGGTTCCTTGAAACAGTTTTTCTTCTTACTAAAATTTAGAATTTGATGTCTAATCTTTCTTCTAGCTCAGTAAGGGGAACCGAATTCTCTGAGTCTGTAATGGGTCACTGCCTTTCAGTCTGATGCTGTAACTTTAGTAGTTCTTATGCTATTCATTTTCTTAGTGAATTCTATCTTTTTAGTTTGTTTTATGAAATTAAAAAAATTATGTGAGTGCATTTTTTATTGGAGAAAATTAAAATACATAAGATCAGAGCATAAGATGTAAAACACCTCATTTTTTTCTCTTCATCCCTTCCACTTCCTATAAATAACACCATTAACACTTTTTCGCAGATATTATTCTATGTATTTTCATGCATATGAATGTCTATATGAAAGATGCATATATGTATATATTTTAACAAAACTGAGATTTTAGGATACAAATTCTTCTATGATTGGCTTTTCTTTCTTAAGAAATATTGGAGCTATTTGGAACTACCTCATTCTTATTAACAGCCGCATAGAATCCTGTATCATGGATAAAACCAAACTCCTCTTGATATCCAAAGCTGAACCTCTGGGTGTTCCCTCCATACCTGATCCTCCCACATTCTTCTCCATTTCAGTTCATAGCAATTCTAGCTTCTCAGGCCAGAACCAAAATCTTTCAGTTATCTTTCACCTCACCCCTCTTTTTCTTTTTAGCAATCATGATCTGACATATATTTATTTATTGCTGTATTTATTACCCATCTCCTCATAGGTATATAATCCTCATTTTTTCAGGTCAGGAACAAGAGATGGTGACAGTAAAGAGCACCAAGTAAACCTATTGAAAGAACACCAGGTACACCTACTGTGTGTGGGGGAGGGAGGCACATTTCACCAACCCTGGGCTGTCTCTCCTCTGTAACTTCTGCAGGAATTCAGATCTTTACTCCTTAATTACCTGGTATCCCCAACTCTCAAGTGTCTGTTCTCCTGGAGTCTTTACTGCTCACATCTGTTCAGTCCACAAGTTTTACCAATTTTTCTAAATATACCGTGGCACCCATCCACTTCTCTGTAACATTATTACCGTCGCCCTATTCTAAGATATCAAATTGACCAAGACTATTGCTATAGCCTCCTAAACTGGCCTCTCCCAGCTACTGTGCCCGGCCTTTGCTCTCTCTTCCCATAGTCTCCACGCTGCACTCAGAGTAATCTTTTCACAATGCACAGCTTAAAATCTGTCAGTGACTTCCCCTTGTCCATACCTATGAGTCAAACTCATGATCTCTCACATTGCCTACAGGGCTCTGCCTGTCTTTCCAGCCTCTTTATGTCTCATTTACTCCCTTAATTCAGCCATGCTGATTTTCTGTCAGTTCCTCTCTCAGGCCTTTGCACAAGCAATTCTCCTGGCGGGAATGCTCTTTCTTTCCACCTTTCATCTTATATCATTTAGGCTTCACCTTACATATCTTTTTCTTAGAAATGCCTTCCATGACTCCACAGACTGTACTCTGGACTTTTCCTGTGTAATATGCATCATACTTGTACTTGGTTAGTATCTGTCTTCCTAGTGAGACTGTATGCTCCCTGGGAACAGAGGCCATATTTGGCTTCATTACTGCCAGGCATGCACTGGATTCTCAAAAAATGTTTGCTGAATAAGTAACTATGGTATAAACCTTGAAAGGGTGAAAATTCTCTGAAATTACTGCCTCAGCCTTGACTCAAGAAGTGATGATATGGCATAAACTTGTACAGATGAGAGGAAATAGAAGAAGAAAACATGGTAGGATGGGGCAGAATCTTTTTCTGTAGTCTCTCCTGAATTAGGTTCCATCAATGCCCTAGTGAATTAGGGTTAAGACCAGAACTACACTGTAGTTAAGAAAGAATTATTTTCCACTTTTGCATATGTATATAATTTAATTACATGTAATTAAATATATGATGTAATATATAAAATTATATCATAATTAAATTATATATTAAATATATTTACATATAATATATAGTATGATATAATATACATACTTATATATGTAATTAATTGTTTAGAAATTAACTTTGAGAAAGTTGAATGTGTTTCATTTCATAGCATTGGTTACTTCTTAAACAATTCTTTTATCCTTATAAAGATTAGGTTAAAATGATGCTTTGAGTTATTCTTTTTTTTTATAGCTTGATATGTGCAGTATATTGTGCATCAATTACACCTCCATAAAGTTGTTTTAAAAAAACATTGCCAGTGGTTTCCAATCTTGGGTCTAAAATTTTGACTTTAAAGTAGTTTTTTTGAAAACCCAGTGCATAACCTTCTTGGGAAACTGGAATCTGGACACTTTCATTCGAAATTAAACTGTTTTCCAGATTATAAGTAACTCTCATCTCTCCTGATTTTGCCAGAGCCTAATAGATCTGGGACTACTGCCCTCATGTCACTAGGCTTCTGTATCATCTAGAAAATGAGGACTGTAACAGTGCATGTAATGAACTTAGGACTAGAGTGGTAACTGCTATAATTATAATTATTCTATCTTTCCACCTCAAGTTATTCTTAAAGACTTGACTTAGTCTCAACTGACTTTTTTTTCCTTTTCTTTAGTGGCCTCACGTGGAATAATTTTAACTCCACTGATGCCTCCTACAATCAAGTAATCAAATCAGCCAACTCTCTGGAGAAATAATGAA
Source organism: Homo sapiens (assembly GCF_000001405.40). Taxonomy (NCBI): domain Eukaryota; kingdom Metazoa; phylum Chordata; class Mammalia; order Primates; family Hominidae; genus Homo; species Homo sapiens. The sequence goes on along the minus strand of NC_000003.12, from coordinate 158,072,034 downwards.
AACAAACTGTTCTGTTCTTATTCTTAATTTAACATTTTTCATCTTATGAATTGGATACAATTGAAGGTAAAAAGATACAAAGTTTGCTAAAGTTTTGAGTGACAGAAGATAGAATATGATCTCAGCGGCCGGGTGCGGTGGCTCATGCCTGTAATCCCAGCACTTTGGGAGGCCGAGGCGGGCGGATCACAAGGTCGGGAGATCGAGACCATCCTGGCTAACACGGTGAAACCCCGTCTCTACTAAAAATACAAAAAATTAGCCGGGCGCGGTGGCGGGCGCCTGTAGTCCCAGCTACTCGGGAAGCTGAGGCAGGAGAATGGCGTGAACCCGGGAGGCGGAGCTTGCAGTGAGCCGAGATCGCGCCACTGCCCTCCAGTCTGGGCTACAGAGCGAGACTCCATCTCAAAAAAAAAAAAAAAAAAAAAGAATATGATCTCAGCTATAATTGCAGCATTGTTAAATTGGGACTATAATTTAAGAATTTAACCTTCATATTTAAAATTTGAGGGTTTTGTTTAACTGCAAGAATCCATAAACGATGATAACATTTTAAAGAGGAAAGAAATTAAAAGTAAATGGCACTGCTAACTTTTCTATTATATTTAGGTGCACTAACTTTTCTATTATATTTAGGTGCAGCCGTAGAGAAGGACAAATTTAGCTCCAAGATTTCTTATGACAGCCAGGCACAACACAGCAAGAAAGAAGCGTCTGACCATACTCACTCTTTAATCTGCAATGCTGGTTACAGCAGAATTTATAATCAGTTGAAGGTTTGACGAACTGTCAACAACCTCTCTGCTCCCAAGTTTATCTTCATGATTGCTTATTTATTGCAGGAGCATGATATTTATTCTTAATAATATGCTAATCATAATTGCTAAGGAAATTGCTGGTTAGCCTGTCTGGCATTAGATGATCAAAAGGAAGTTACAATGGACAGAAAAAACATTTCATTAGAAAACAAAAAGAATTGAAAGAGAGCACACTTTGATATCATTATGATTTGGTTCTTACAAATTATCATTAACAACTAGACTAACAAAATTCAGTGTAAATATACAAAGCCAGGTTGTTGCAACATGTAGATTAGAGTTTGCTCCAATCTATGAATAGCTGAGGAAGTTTCCACAGGGGACAGTAACAAATAGTGGTTGCCCTAAGCAGAGAGCCAGTCCTACCTTAGTTCTACATCTTTTACTCTCTTCTTGCCTTTTGCTTTTGTGTTTCCAGCCTACTTTTGCTCCCTGGAATTCTCCATCTTTCCTTCTCCACTCTCCACGGGACATTTTGATAGGAATATATCATAATTCCATGTATGGCTTCTTCTTGGAATATTTACATGTATATTTACTTTCTCTCTCATTGGAAAATTGGATTTTTGTTCCTGCTTAATTTTGAACATCACTTGTTTTTTTGTTTGTTTTGTTCTTTTTAAATAAGGAGCACTATCCCAGTGTCTTTAAAAATAGACTGTTTTCTACGTTGCCTTCTAGTGAAATGAATTCTGGATCTGAAATGAGACATTATGGAATAAACAAGGAACTGGTGCCCAGTGAGTTATAGCGGAGAATAAAGAGACGTCCAGAGAAGATTTAGAAAATATTTTCCTTGTGAGATTGTGTAAGCTTAGGCCCAGCAGGGTGGCTCACACCTGTAATCCCAGCACTTTGGGAGGCCGAGGCAGGTGGATCACGAGGTCAGGAGTTCAAGACCAACCAGGCCAAGGTGGTGAAACCCCGTCTCTACTAAAACTTCACAAATTAGCCAGACGCAGTGGCAGGTGCCTGTAATCCCAGCTACTCGGGAGGCTGAGACAGGAGAATTGCTTGAACCAAGCAGCAGAGGTTGCAGTGAGCCGAGATCACGCCACTGCACTCCATCCACCCTGGGCAACAGAGTGAGACTCTGTCTCAAAAAACAAAACAAAACAAAACAAACCCCAAAACATTATGTAAGCTTAAAAAGCCCTTAAAGTGTGTCTATGGTAATATACTTAGAAATACCAGGAAAATGTGAAAATGACATTTAAAATGAAATGCAGTAAAAATAATTTGCAATCATTATGCATATAATTCTGAGGGAATTCTCCATATGGTTTGATAAGAATCTAATTATGGGAAAAATTTACCCAAGAAAATAAAATGGAACTTTCTCTCACAGATAACTGATAAGAAGTAGCCTAGAAAACAATATTGCTGAAACAAATAAAAATGAATCAAGGCCAAAATGCTTTAGATGCCCTTGAAAAAAATCAAGACGTTATTTAGAAGTATTTGGTAACTGTTTCCATAGCAGACTTCAGAAAATGGGCTTGCAGTCAATGTGGTTCTCTCTGTAAAACCTGCGTAGCAGTGTCAGTAACCATTTATTCTGTCATCATTTGGAAGTTAGAGAGAGCTGGCTTGGAAAATGGGGAGATTTATAGAAAAACAAAGCTTATTGTATATAAATAGCCTGAAAATTTGATGAAAATAACCAATCATACATAACCTAACCAGAAAAAAGAGGAAAAGAAATTATATACACATACAAAAGGTTCTAAATGGAATATATTTCAAAGTTACAACACCATGAGGGCCCAAAAGAGGATACTGTTGGATCAGTGAAATGTGATGAAATGATTTAGGTTGAATGATACCAGTTCCATGCTATTTGGTTACTGTAGCCTTGTAGTATAGTTTGAAGTCAGGTAACATGATGCCTCCAGCTTTGTTCTTTTTGCTTAGGATTGTCTTGGCTATGCGGACTCTTTTTTGGTTCCATATGAAATTTAAAGTAGTTTTTTTTTATGCCCCTTGGGAATATTTCTTTTTCTTTTTTTATTATTATTATACTTTAAGTTTTAGGGTATATGTGCACAATGTGCAGGTTAGTTACATATGTATACATGTGCCATGCTGGTGTGCTGCACCCATTGACTCGTCATTTAGCATTAGGTATATTTCCTAATGCTATCCCCCGACCCCACAACAGTCCCCAGAGTGTGATGTTCCCCTTCCTGTGTCCGTGTGTTCTCATCGTTCAATTCCCACCTATGAGTGAGAACAATTCTGTGAAGAAAGTCAATGGCAGCTTGATGGGAATAGCATTGAATCTATAAATTACTTTGGGCAGTATGGCCATTTTTACAATATTGATTCTTCCCATTGATGAGCACGGAATGTTTTTCCATTTGTTTGTGTCCTCTTTTATTTCCTTGAGCAGTGGTTTGTAGTTCTCCTTGAAGAGGTCCTTCACATCCTTTGTAAGTTGTATTCCTAGGTATTTTATTTTCTTTGTAGCAATTGTGAATGGGAGTTTGCTCGTATTTTGGCTCTCTGTTTGTCTATTATTGGTGTATAGCATGCTTGTGATGTTTGCACATTGATTATGTCTCCTGAGACTTTGCTGAAGTTGCTTGTCAGCTTAAGGGGATTTTGGGCTGAGACAATGGGGTTTTCTAAATATACAATCATGTCATGTTCAAACAGAGATAATTTGACTTCCTCTCTTCCTGTTTGAACACCCTTTATTTCTTTCTCTTGCCTGATTGCCCTGGCCAGAACTTCCAATACTGTGTTGAATAGGACTGGTGAGAGAGGGCATCCTTGTCTTGTGCCAGTTTTCAAAGGGAATGCTTCCAACTTTTGCCCATTCAGTATGATATTGGCTATGGGTTTGTCATTAATAGCTCTTATTATTTTGAGATATGTTCCATCAATACCTAGTTTATTGAGTGTTTTTAGCAAGAAGGGTGTAAATTTTATTGAAGGGCTTTTCTGCATCTATTGAGATAATCATATGGTTTTTGTCATTGGTTCTCTTTGTGTGATGGATTATGTTTATTGATTTGCATATGTTGAACCAGCCTTGCATCCTAGGGATGAAGGGGACTTGATTATGGTGGATAAGCTTTTTTATTTTTATTTATTTTTATTTTTATTTTTTTGAGAAAAAGTCTCGCTCTTGTCCCCCAGGGTGGAGTGCAATGGCACGATCTCGGCTCACTGCAACCTCCCTCTCCCAGGTTCAAGTGATTCTCCTGCCTCAGCCTCCCGAGTAGCTGGGATTACAGGTGTGTACCACCACGCCCGGCTAATTTTTTGTATTTTAAGTAGACATGGGGTTTCACCATATTGGCCAGGCTGGTGGATAAGCTTTTTAATGTGCTGCTGGATTCAGTTTGCCAGTATTTTATTCAGGATTTTCGCATTTATGTTCATCAGGGATATTGGCCTGAAATTTTCTTTTCTTGTTGTGTCTCTGACAGGTTTTGGTATCAGGGTGATGCTGACCTCATAAAATGAGTTAGGGAGGAGTCTCTCTTTTTCTATTGTTTGGAATAGTTTCAGAAGGAATGGTACCAGCTCCTCTTTGTACCTCTGGTAGAATTCGGCTGTGAATCCATCTGGTCCTGGGCTTTTATTGGTTGGTAGGCTGTTAATTACTGCCTCAATTTCAGAACTTGTTATTGGTCTATTCAGGGATTTGACTTCTTCCTGGTTTAATCTTGGGAGGGTGTATGTGTCCAGGAATTTATCCATTTCTTCTAGATTTTCTAGTTTATTTGTGTAGAGGTGTTTATAGTATTCTCTGATGGTAGTTTGTATTTCCGTGGGATCAGTGGTGATCTCCCCTTTATTATTTTTATTGTGTCTGTTTGATTCTTCTCTCTTTTCTTCTTTATTAGTCTGGCTAGTTGCCTATCTATTTTGTCAGTGTTTTCAAAAAACCAGCTGCTGGATTCATTGATTTTTTTGAAGGGTTTTTCATGTGTCTGTCTCCTTCAGTTCTGCTCTGATCTTAGTTGTTTCTTGCCTACTGCTAGCTTTTGAATTTGTTTGCTTTTGCTTCTCTAGTTCTTTTAATTGTGATGTTAGCGTGTCAATTTTAGATCTTTCCCGCTTTCTCCTGTGGGCATTTAGTGCTATAAATTTCCCTGTAAGCACTGCTTTAGCTGTGTCCCAGAGATTCTGGTACATTGTGTCTTTGTTCTCATTGGTTTTAAAGAACTTCGTTATTTCTGCCTTAATTTCATTATTTACTCAGTAGTCATTCAGGAGCAGGTTATTTAGTTTCCATGTAGTTGTGTGGTTTTGAGTGAGTTTCTTAATCCTGAGTTCTAATTTGATTACCTGTTGTCTGAGAGACTGTTATGATTTCCTTTCTTTTGCATTTGCTGAGGAGTGTTTTACTTCCAATTATGTGGTTGATTTTATAATAAGTGCTATGTGGTGCTGAGAAGAATGCATATTCTTCTGATTTTGGGTAGAGAGTTCGTAGATGTCTATTAGGTCCACTTGATCCAGAGCTGAGTTCAAGTCCTGAATATCCTTGTTAATTTTGTCTCGTTGATCTATCTAATATTGACAGTGGGGTGTTAAAGTCTCCCACTATTATTGTGTGGGAGTCTAAGTCTCTTTGTCGGTCACTCAGGGCTTGCTTTATGAATCTGGGTGCTCCTGTATTAGGTGCATATATATTTAGGATAGTTAGCTCTTCTTGTTGCATTGATCCCTTTACCATTATGTAATGCCCTTCTTTGTCTTTTTTGATCTTTGTTGGTTTAAAGTCTGTTTTATCAGAGACTAGGATTGCAACCCCTGCTTTTTTTTCCTTTCCGTTTGCTTGGCAAATCTTCCTCCATCCCTTTATTTTGAGCCTATGTGTTTCTTTGCACATGAGAGAGGTCTCCTGAATATAGCACACCAATGGATTTTGACTGTTTATCCAATTTGCCAGTCTGTGCCCTTTAATTGGGGCATTTAGCCTATTTACATTTAAGGTTAATATTGTTATGTGTGAATTTGATCCTGTCATTATGATGCTAGCTGGTTATTTTGCCCCTTAGTTGATGCAGTTTCTTCATAGTGTTGATGGTCTTTACATTTTGGTTTGTTTTGCAGTGGCTGCCCTTAACATTTTTTCCTTCATTTCAACCTTGGTGTATCTGGCGATTATGTGTCTTGGGGTTGTTCTTCTCGAGGAGTATCTTTGTGGTGTTCTCTTTATTTCCTGAATTTGAATGTTGGCCTGTCCTTGCTAGGTTGGAGAAGTTCTCCTAGATAATATCCTGAAGAGTGTTTTCCAACTTGGTTCCATTTTCCCCATCACTTTCAGGTACACCAATCAAATGTAGGTTTGGTCTTTTCACATAGTCCCATATTTCTTGGAGGCTTTGTTTGTTCCTTTTCATTCTTTTTTCTCTAATCTTGTCTTCACACTTTATTTCATTAAGTTGCTCTTCAATCTCTGATATCCTTTCTTCCACTTGATAGATTCACCTGTTGATACTTGTGTATGTTTCACGAAGTTCTCGTGCTGTGTTTTTCAGCTCCATCAGGTCATTTATGTTCTTCTCTAAACTGGTTATTCTAGTTAGCAATTCCTCTAACCTTTAACCAAGGTTCTTAGCTTCTTTGGTGGGTCCATTCTTGAAGGTAACACTGTAATAGACAAACATTTCTTTTGGGGGAACAAACTATATATCTCCAATTTTTAGTTCAGTTTTGTATCATGTGAAGTAGAATAGTGCACCAAGTAGTGTCAAAAGATGACTTATGAAGTACTCACACTGCCACTTACTAAATGTGTGATCTTTGGCGAATTTATAAAACTGCGTTTATGAGTAGGTATAATAGTATCTACCTTACTGGGTTATTGTGAGGCTCGAAGGAGTTAACAAATGTGAATATACTATACAAATACTTAGTAAAATCCTGTAATGCTAAAATAGTTTAATTCTCTCCTTTAGCTGAGCCAAACTAAAATCCTGTAAATCAGTAACTTATTTCACAGTCTTCTGAAATTTAACAGTTTCCAAGTAGGCTTAGCATTGGAAAGTTATTTCACCATGGAATAGAGTATGGGGGAAACTTAATAGTCATGAGAGACTATTGCTTATCAGTAGTTTGGTTTAATGGAGATGCTAATTTGTAATTTACCATCATATTTTAAAAACTCAATTAACTTTCTGGAGGCAATTTTGCATTAAATGCATTCTATTAATTCTCTAGAATAATTTTTTGCTTGGTGACGTTAGTCTCTGAGAACAATAACCATCAGTTGCTCTGTTCACTAGACCTTTCTTTTGTAGATTTCAGTGTCATTGCCACTTGACCTTACTTTCTCGTAAGAAAAACTTTTCAGATCTTGGCTTCAAAGGTGCTGAAAAGAAAAATTTGGCATTTATAGTATGTTTTATTGAATCAAAAGAAAAACCTGGTAAATTAAGTGAAAAAAAGAAAATAAAACTTTTTTTTTCAATTTAATTGAGCTAATAAGACAGCTGCCAAAAATGGCTATGATGACATATAGTGGATTTTTACAAAAGCATTGAATAGAATATATATGGTTCTTTCAGTTGGAATGAAGAGCACAGTTCTTTGAATTCAGTCTGGTTCTGTGCTGAATGTCTTTGTTTAAAATATCTGTATTTTACACTTTTGGTCCTGTCTTTCCTATTGTGACAAGTTGCTACCTTCTCATGCCACCTTGATTAATCCTATATGAATTTTGTTGTGAACGTTTGTATATAAATATCAATTTGTTCAATTTCATGTGAAAATCCTGGCCCCCCTCCTCACTTTTGAAGCAGATTCAGATGTAAACTGTCTTTTTAATTATCTTCTTTATTTATTTAACACATGTGTTTTGGGTGTAAAGAAAAAAACCATTAATTTTCTAAAGTCCTAATCATGGTATATGGAAAGATCTTTTTGTGTTCACATAGAAAGGTTTTCTAGTTTCCAAGTGGATTTAGTATGTTAATCTGTCCATAGTAAATACTGGGAATGTTGTATTATTAATATTTTCACATAATAACCAGCGGGTTTCATGAAATGCTTATGTAACCATAATTTCACAATAAAACAGGTAAAACAAGAATATTTTAATTATAATTTTTATGTCACATTTGGTTTTTAAAATAAAATGGGATGATCAGATTTTCAAAAAGCAAGTGGCAGAATTGTCTTTGATTATTGCCCCCAAATCACTTTTAGTGATTTTTAATAATATGTACTTAGTTTTATACGTTTGTTTTAGGTTTTATTTCTATGTTTTTACCCTTACTCCTACCATTCCGTGTATGACTCAAATAATCACTTCTAATTATTCTTGATAACATTCAGTGCTTTTTTTCCTTTTTTTAATTTATTGACATGGTTTTGAATATCATGGTATTTTTCCTGTAAATTACTTCCTTAAAGAGATTCTAGGAATCAATCTGTATATATGTTATATTATTCTTATCAACAGGAGAACTCATGATTTTTTAAAAGAAATAGTAAAAGATGAAAAGATAACCTGAAATGGATAACAGAACATAAACTGAATGGGCAGAAATAAAGACAGTTAAAGAAAAAATGTGGTAAAGGAAAAAGAAACAGGTCCTAGGGGATTATTTTAGGGTACAATAGACAATGTAATACAGTAAAAAAAGAAAAACAGGGATGAAAGTCCTGAAGATAGGTGGGAAAAAATAGCAAGAATGTATATTTAGGCAAGGCAGGAATAAAAAGTCAAAGGCTATGAGAAAACAAGATTTATTTTAAAATCCAAGTAAAGAGTTGAAACATTTGTAATACATTGAGAATAACTGAACTACAAAACATATAGGAAAATATTCACAGAGGCAAAAACATTAAAAAGAATTTTAAAGTGTATTACATTTCCACTCAGATTATTTCTATTTTTGAAAAATGGCTACATTCAGATTAACAATTACCACAAAGTAATGTTTCTATAGTATAATTTGCAGTCATAGAGTTTATGTGTTTAAACTAATGCCATCAGAATGAAAAAGGACATTATTAAAGATATTATCTAAAGGTAAAGACCCAATCTAGAGAATATATTTGAAGGGAAACTCTCTTATTACGCTACAACACCAGCTGTCCTAAAGGCTTTATAGAACATAATTGTGATTAAGCAGCACTCCTGCTGCTGGTGTAGGAGTTATAGCCAATAATAATGTATTGACATTTATATGGTTGTGATGCTCTGACCTGAACTTGCGTAACTAGTGCCCTAGTAATTGCCAAGTGTTTCACATTCACTGTAATGCCAAGATAAAAATAGCAAAGTTGATTAAATACAGTTAGATGTTAATATAAAATAATAAAGTTAAGTACTTCATATAATGTTGTTCCTGACAATTTGTTTTCCTCATTGAGTAAGTGAATGCAATTTATGGAAAAATAGCCCTTCATATTATTTCCCTAAAGTTAGTCACCATGAATAATTAGTCTTTACTAAGCAGTTATTAAATCTTCACTCGCATTGTAAATCAGTTGAAAATGAGGAGCAATAGGAGAAAGCAAGATTAGATTTTTAGAATGCTATTTTATTGTGCGTTTTAAGGTACTAGGTCACCAGGTTTTTGTATTATTGTAATATATCAGATAATAAAATTTGATTTATTTAAACCTTCTCTTAAACATTTTCACGTTCTCCAATGCTCAAGAATCTGTAAAAAGTTGAATATTTACTTACAGTTCTATTAACTTTTCCTCCAAATCGGATATTTCCCTCACTTCCTTATTTTGTGATAATAAACGTACTAATGGATGCTTTCATTGATGGGCCCCTACTTAAGGAAAATGAAAACTAAAAATGATTCTGGTTCTTTAAAAGTTTATTCCTATGGCACCATCGTGTAAGCATACATATGGGACAGTAAAAATGGAAGACGACACATTAAATGACATTATTATAAAATGCAATACTCTTGGAATGATCCCTTATTAAATTAGGCTCTATGATGTGAGATGAATTTCCCCGATCCCTAATCCATCACTGGAGAAATATTAAAAGATAGGTCTCAACTGGTATTAGAATCGCACTCAGTCTCTACTTTCATTATTTTGAATTAGGGTGCTACTGGGGGAAAGCCTCTTAATGAGAATTAGAGTGATTCACTGGCCTTCTTTTGGATTTTGACAAGTAAAATATTAACTCTTCAGTCACAGCTGTCTGAATTAAAATACTTGGCAGCCGCAGATGCACAAATTAAATTGGCCTTTATGTTTCCATATTGCTGACCTCCTTAGAGGCAAAAACATCAAACTCAACAATAACAAAAAAGTCACAGTGTGTCATTTCTTGGAAGAAAATATATTTATTGAAGTTTTTATAGTTGTTTCAATTTTAACATACAATTGAACAACTCTAAGACATTTTGAAGTGAAATTTTGTTTTGATTATAAATTACATAAACTTCAGCCACACATCAGTTATTTTAAGCCATTAACTAGTTGTTAAAATAATCAGCGATGTTTTGGGGGTTTTCTTGCCTGTTTAAATCCCATTAATCAGAACTGTGAGTTGAATATCAGAGTAAATACAGTGAATTCAGCATCAAAACATTTAAAGCACATTTACTTGGAAATACACACAAAGATTTATCCCTCTTTTCAATCCAAAAATAGATTGCATTGAAGATGAAAAATTAATTTAGTGGAATTGATTTTCTCCTAAATATGGTGTTCAAATTTAACATTTATTGTATAACTAAACAAAAAAAATAAAATCTACGTTTGTTGTTTTTAAAAAATAATGACAATTTATACCTATGTCTCACTCAATGGAGTTAGTGATTTGAGTGAATACTCAACAGAGTTAGTAATTTATAGAGTAATTCAAATAATGATTAAAAAAATCTGGCCTGTCATTACATACTGGTTTCTGACTTCTTTGCCTTTCTGTGGTCACTATAACATCATCTTCCACTTCTCTCTAATTACTACTCATTGATCTAAACTTGTGATTGGTTGGACAATGATTTGAGGTAGACACTGATGAATGAATCTTACCCATCTTACTTTACACATCCAGTAAAGTGATGAACTCAGGGACATGTGTTGTGAATCTAGGTTTTTCCTAAAACCATGGAACTAACAAAAAGGATTAGGAAAGTGCCTCTCCATTTCCCAGTGAGGTTCAGTTTATGAGAGAAAAGCTCTTCTTTGAAGGAATTTTGAGAACCCTTAGCATTATATAAACTATAATTCTGGAGACAGTGTGATATTTATATGCCCTATGGAATCACGCTTCTACATCTTTGGTAACGTGTGGGCCAAATACTAAATTATGAGTCTTCTAATGAATTTTGTTTGTGTAAGTGCATACACTTTTATGTAGATGAAAAAAAATACTCAGAGATCTAAGGTTATTTAATTTTAATAGACAAGAGTGCTAGGCATGATATGCAAGGAAATTGTACATAATTATTTTATTTCTCCAAAACTTTAGGGTTTGGCAAGTTGGAGAAAAACGTTTATTTATTTATTTATTTATATTTTGAGACAGAGTCTCGCTCTGTCACCCAGGCCGGAGTGCAGTGGTACGATCTCGGCTCACTGAAACCTCTGGCTCCCGGGTTCAAGCGAGTCTCCTGCCTCAGCCTCCTGAGTAGCTGGGACCACAGACATGGACTACCATGCCCAGCTAATATTTGTATTTTTAGTAGAGATGGGGTTTTGCCATTTTGGCCAGGCTGGTCTTGAACTCCTGACCTCAGGTGATCCACCCGCCTTGGCCTCCCAAAGTGCTGAGATTACACACATGAGCCACCGCGCCTGGCCCTTATTGACTTTTTATAGGTTACATTTTAGTTTACTTTATTTTCATTTTAATTATCTTTACATTATAATTGTGTTTCACTATTAAGCTTTTCATACTTAAAAGAAAATATCACAAAGCAGTATGCTTTTTATAGTGAGGACAAATTATAATAGACCAAGATCTTAAAGTTTTACCATTTATATTCTCTTCTAGAAGAAAATAAGGTAATCAACATTATATTAACATATATTCTGAATATTTATTAATGATAAATGTGTGCTTCAAATTGACTGTTATTAAATTATAAAAGAAAAAACGTTTTGGTAGTAGATAGACAGTATGAATCTACCTGTGCATGCAATTATTTGAGATTGTGTCTTTTCACATAAAAATATAAGCTATAAAATGGGTGTGTTGGTGCTAGTCAGCTACTCAGGAGGGAGAGGTGAGAGTATTGCTTGGGCAACATAGCAAAATTCCATCTCTTTAAAAAAATTGTGTATATATATATGTGTATATCTATATAAAATGTATGTGTGTATATATAATGTATGTGTATATATGTATATACATAATGTGTGTGTGTGTGTATCCTGTTGTATCAACACGTTTCTTGCTTTGTCTTATTTTTAGCTTGGAAATACCTGAATTTTAAAAATTTGGCATATCTTTTTAGAACTCAGTTATTACTTAAATCCATCCATCATGTAAGTAACCTGTTGCATTAAAAATGTATCATTAAAATTATTCAATTATTTTCAGAATATTGATAGGGCTATGCATTTTTACTGGCAATTCCTAATCCTATTATACAAGAATGAAAACTTGGAATACTACCGGAATGAAAAATTACTGCCCCGATTCAAAGGTGAATGTAACCACCACTCTTGCTTTGTCCTGTAACTAACTGCAATGTTTTGTAAGAACCTTGAATAGTAGTAGAGCATTATGCAGACAGATTACCAACACGGGAGGCTCAGTCTGTGAATTAGTTCTACCAGAACTACTTAATGCATCTTTTCTGGAATTAAATGTGCATGGAAGTCTGCCATAGGGCAAGCCACAAGGTGGTTTAATTTCTTTTTTAGAACACATTAGTAGAACTCGATAAAGGGTCAAGTAATTTCATCCAACTTGCCACTAGTTAGTTAAGAGAAAATGACAGTACTTGAGGCTGACATTGTTACATTTCCACAAATATATTTTATAAAATAGCAGTTTAAAATTTCATTTTTTTGCAGAAAGAGTGATTGCCTAAGGAATACTTCTTAGCTTTAAAAGATTACCTAGCCTGTAGCTAAATAGGGCATTTTGATTAATATTTGCTATTTTGAAAGTGGGTTGAGGTCTGAAATGAGATGGTTACTTTTCAGGCAGGAGTGACTTTGGTTCCAAGGCTCCCGTAGTTTCCAGGGAGGCTGCACGGGGAGTAATTTCAGCGAATTGTAAGCGGACAGTAACTCCACAGGGAGCTCCGGCAATCATGGCGGAAACAATGTTTACATCGATCAGCTGTCATGGTGATTTATGGCTTCATTTTGCTGTAATGGAGAATTAGTGGAAAGATTATCAGGGACTCAACACTTTGGCTTGTTACCCATGTCCAGACGAGCAATTTGTCTCCCTGAAGCAGCGAAATACTTGTGACAGCTCCAACACTTGCTCTAATTCAATCAAGAGAAAATGTTGGAATTAATTTGTTACAAGAAAATTTAAATATGTTCAGCAAACAGTAACCGCAGAGCAGAAGGCTGATTTATTGTGCTCGGCAAGATATCGATCCACTTCGATCTGGCCCATGTTGAGGTTTTAATGTGTAATAATTTCCAATTTAAAGCTCCTTTTCAGGATCACGGGTTTAAAGAGAGGGCAGGCTAGGTCTCAAGACCTGATTAGGAGCCTGTTGCAATGGCTTTGTCAAAAGCCTGTTTGAATGTAAATTCATAGTTATCTTTTGCACTATCTTTAATATTCTTGACATGGATTTTATTGTGTGTCAAACCTCAGGCCAGCTGCCTGCCACAACCATTAATGAAACATCTTAGGAAATAAATCTCAGTCTTTATATAGTATTTTTAAAAACCTGAAACATTAGATGTCAGAGAAGAAGGTTTAACATTATTTTTTTGTCAGGAAACCATCTGAGAAACAGCCGTTTTACAGCCTGCCTACACAATTAGATTGAATTATTGTGTGAATGCCATAATGCTATAAGCTTTCGTTTCAGAAAGTCTGCATGAATATTTGTAGGCACATGTACAAGTTTGTTGTTATGATTTTTTTTTTTAAAGAAGCTAACAGGTCATGAAGTGTATTGGTTGTTTTTCTACCTACTTCTCCCCACACCTGACTAGGTAATGATGTAATTATTTGGGTGTCTGGATGGGTTTATGTTTTCTACTGTGCAAATTAAATCTCCATCAGCATTCAAGCACTTATTGTATTAGGGAGGAGTTATTCACAGTTTGAGAGTATTATTGTACTATTTCATGTTACTTGAATGACATATTTCATGGTAGAAGGGATGTACAATTTCTGTAGTCTTTCAATTGTAGGATTTAAAAAAAAAGCTGTGTTTGAGTGTCAGATTGCATGAGCAATGAGTAATGTGTGGTTTGGGCAGGCATTTTTTTTAGCCAAAATATACTTTGATGGAACAGTCATTGGCACAACAGAAATTTAAAGCTATTTGGTTTGCAGAACAAAAGAGCATGTCCAGCTCCTTTTCTGCATCTAATTGTAAGTCTGCTCTTTGAGTCTAACATCTTTGTTAATATTAGTAGCTAATACGATCAGAGAACTATTCTGTTCATCCTGATCAATAAAAAAGTACAGTCTTCCACCATGGGGAATTGATGCAGGGCAGCGCATTTTCTGCTGAGTGGAATGGCAGACACACATATTGCTTGGCTTATGTTTTCTTCATTTATTCTTAACTTTGGAGCTATAAATATGATTTTGTAAATTGCTTCTTTGTATGTTTTTTAAAAATTCATTTTCATTGTCTTTTCATGAGGAAATTTTGAGCTTTGAGTTGTTTTTTTTTTTTTTTTTTTGCTGTCAATAGTACAAATAATTGGTTGGTATGATGGTAAAATACTGTGTCTCTCTACCAGACCTAAATAATATACTGGGAAGGAGAATGATGTCTGTTATTTTTACTGCCTCTGATATTTTTACTGGTACAAGTATCATTTTTAGTTCCCGTTCTTGTGGTTGAATGTTTGAGTCTAATGTGTATCTTTTGTGACTAGGGAGCCAGAAATGGAATTTTTAGCATAGAACAATCCAAATTACTTTTCTTAGACTTTTAGATATCTAGACTAAGATGAAAGAATTTTTTAGGTGATATTCATTATGAAGGATCCTAGCACACCAAGCTTAATGATGAAGTAACTGCTTCATACATATACTTATCCTCTCCTTAAAAGTCTACCACCTTGAGTTTCTTTTCTTTGATGAAAGAGTCAACATTTCTAACATGTAATACTAATGCAGTAAAGACAGCTTCCAAATAAACCACCTAAAAATCAAATTAGTCTTCTCCGAATTGAAGGTTAAGTTGGCCTCCATCTTATTAGTTCAGTGGAACTATCGTAACTCTCCCTTTAACCTGTGAGTGTCTAAATCTGGGGGTTCCATTTCCTATAGTAAAGCCATGAAAAAGCTCAGTTTTCTAAATTTTGGAATTCAGTTAACTGAGTTTCTGTGAGATGATTGTTTCCCATCCTGCAGCATATTACATTTCACATAGTACATCCTCTGCCATTGCTAGCTGGAGTTCCTGCTTATCCTAAGGCCTGACAATTGTCATTTTGCCAAACACAAAAACATCATGTTGATGTATTAACAGCCTCCACCAGTGATGATGCTACCCTCAGTTACAAAATCATATTAACTTTGGAAATGGATTGATTGGTGCAGGTACAAAGTTAAAAAATACTGAAATTTTGTTTGATGGGATGTAAAGTTAGAGTTAGTGGCACGTTTCCCTAAAGTACTAAAAAGTTTAGAAATTTCTGCAACTAAATAGCAAAAGCAAATGGGTAAGAATGCCAGTCATGCCATTTAAGCTTTTGATACAATTATTTCATTCTCAATCATTTTTAAAGGAATCATTCTAACATAATAATATTTATACAGTTAGAATATTTTACTGTTATTACTTTCTAAAAGCATTGTTTTCCATTAGTGTGATAAAAATAATTTACTAAATCTCCAGTTATGATTTCCTGACATTCACTGACAAGTTTTTATCTTTAAGTAAATCATCAAGGAAATACGATTCGTTTGATGAAGTTAGTTTTGCTGTAGATTTATAAATGCTAAGCAGCATGTATTGCACTAAATGCAAGCTGTGTGTATATATGTGTGTGCATATGTATCTTGATCAGTAACAGAGTTAGGTCTTGGGTTGGATAATAATTATAACTTTGTTGATAAGGGTAGTATATTTTAGATTATAAGTTTTCCTGCTAGTGATTCAGTTTTCATGCTAGTGATTTTTGTTTCCTGGTTTAAATTTCAAAATGACACTCTTGTTTAAAATGGTCTCATTCACGTTAATACTCTCAACCTCAGAATCAGTAAAAGCAGGAAGAGAAGAAAAGACTACTCATTTGTAGCAATGAAGATATATACACAGTGTTTTTCCAAGCACAAATATGTACAGAATGTGAGATTCTGACAAAGAATGCATGAACAATATACCCACTGCAAAGATAAAATTCAAGGGAGTGAAGAGATGAGGCTGTGTTACCCATTGCTATAATGCCAGCAGGAAAATCTATGGCCCTTTTTTTTTTTTTTGGTTTTTTTTTGAGACAGAGTCTCACTCTGTCACCCAGGCTGGAGTGCAGTGGCCCGATCTTGGCTCACTGCCACCTCCGCCTCCAGGCTCAAGCCATTCTCCTGCCTCAGTCTTCCAAGATGCTGGGATTACAGGCGCACTGCCACCATACCCAGCTAATTTTTGTATTTTTAGTAGAGACAGGGTTTCGCCATGTTGGCCAGGCAGGTCTCAAACTCCTGGCCTCCAGTGATCCGCTCACCTTGGCCTCCCAAAGTGCTGGGATTACAGGTGTGAGTCACTGTGCCCAGACAATGGCTCTTCTTTTTGAAGCAGAGTTGGTCATTTCCCTTTTACTAATGGGAGTGACATTGAGAAAGACATGGTTCCAGTGAGAAGGCCCTGAGCTGTGCACCATGAATGGTTCCCTCTCAGGTCAAGCTCCCAGGCCCATTTTACTACTTGCTTTCCAATGAGTCATGATTATTACTTTATCCTTTGAAATAGACTTGACTGCCTGTATATATAGAGGGCTTGTACACTGCAAAAATTGCTTGCATGTTTGTTCTGTGTAAATTCTTAGCTTAGTTCATGATTTCAAAAAAAGGAATCAATAAGTTGCTTTTGTTCCTGATTTATGATCGATATAGCTCATAAACTGCACATTTTAGAGTTAAAATGGATTTTAGAGGTTTATCTTGTCCAAACTGTTCCACAAATCTGGAAGCCAATTTTTGATATCATAATAGATGATCATCTTCTTATTTTACCACAGACAGTTACATTTAAGGATGATGTGATTTTGTTTTGCCATGGCTATAGCAATATCAGTGATAATGTATTGCTAGGAAAAGAGAATCATCCACTAAGGATCAAATTGTCTCAAAGTGACCCTTTATATGTCAGTGTTCAATTCTAGTTTGTGCTCTATATAATTTTGTAATTTAAGCCTATGTACTGTGTGTGTCTATTTAGGAAAAATGTGATTTAAATGGGAAAATTCATCATCTAGGCTAAAAATTGGGTCTTTGAAATTTAAGCTGAATGAAGCCTCTTGTAAAATAAGAAATTAAAAAGGGATTATTATTATGTACATAGGCAACAGAGTGACAGGAGGAAAAATGAGCAGTGATTTATTAGCAGAAAAACAGGCCAGTGTCATCTCATGTAAGAAGTTTACCCTAAATGTTACCTGTGATGTTGAAAAGGTACCTTCTGACTCTTTCTCATTTCCCCGGGGTAAGCTGAGAGACAATCATGAGGGCTGTCAAGGACTCCACACCAGATAAAGCATGAGGGAAGGAGTGCAATAAGTGGGCGAAAGCATGCTATTGCTTGAATCTGCAAATTTAGGTCTGCCCAAGGATGAAAAATACAATGTGTTTTCAAATGTTGCTTAATGGAGTACACATTTATATGCACCTTTAAGAAATTAGATCCTGTGCGATGTAAGTATCACCTTACTGAATACAATAAAAAGAACAAAAGTAATATTTTTTGAAAATTTTTATTCCAATAAGATTTTGGAAGCTGAACTATTACTAATTTGTGTTTCCATGGTGGTAGAGATAAATAAAAGAGTATAAAGCCTAAATAAAACATTTCCAAAACCACCAAGTAAAGCTGTGTCCTGAACCTTATTCATGGCCAAAATTAAAAAGAAATCATGGAATAAATTATGTAGTTTCTCCTTCTATTTGTTAATTTTACTCACTTTTTTTCAGCATGTGAACCATTAATGTGGTTCCAAAAGTCAGAACTGTGCAAAAAGACATTCTTAGGAAGTAACATTTTCACCTCCCTTTGCCAAATCCTTCTATTATATCCCCTTATTATCTCCTCCCGCTGTGGTTAACCAGTCTCAGCAATCTCTACAGCCTTTGGTTTATCCTTCTTGTGTTTCTTTTTGAATGAATGTACAGATACATGTACATTTTCTTCTCTTTCTCTTCTTTTTTTATGAAAAGGTAGCATATAAAGGTACTGTATTGCATTTTGCTTTTTTCACTAAATGTCCTAAAAATTCCACCACACCAGTTTATAGAGATTTTCTTTGTTCTTTAGCTGTGCTCTTTTTTTTCAAGCTGTGTAGTACTCCATTGTATGGATGTACCATAGTTTATTCAATCATTTTCCTATGTATGAATGTTTAGGTTGTTTCTAATATTTTACAATTACAAACAGTGGACATAGGTGAATAACCTTATCCATATATATTTTCATATTATTGAAATCATTGAATAACTTTTGAGTAAAAATTATTTTTTCTTTGGATTTTAATTTAATAGATTTAAGTGTAACATAAAATTAGGTCCTCCCCTTTCAAATGGTGTGACATAACAAAGTCACAAGTGATCCTACTTTTATCCTAGTCGCACTTTGCTGAAAGTTTCCATCATGAAATAATTGTCATGTGACTCTTATTTTTGATGGGCTGCTCTGACTTCTCTCTTACTGTCTGGCTGTTATTTTGACAGTACTTGCAGGCTGAAAAGAAGAAGAAAGAGACAAGAAGGAAACAGAAAAATTCTTGCTCATTATAGTGAGAAGCCATATAGACTAAACTTATTTGATAGTGTATTTATAAAACAACACTCAACTGGTTACCTGGAGTTTGAGTTGATTGTGTTTATTTAGGATATTTTTCACACATGGGAAACGTGATTTTCTTTCAGTCAGAGAAAATGTTAGACTTTCCTATGGGACTACTTCTGGCCTATGACTCCAAAATTTTGGGGGATGAGCCAGAATGGAGTGGAAATTTCACTACAACTCCCTTCATGAAATACCCAACTTTCTAGCAAGGCCATCCTTAAATGTATATACCAATTGACAAGCTACTGAATAAGCAGAAACTGTTATGGCTCTATTCTAATTTGAGAATTAGGGTCTTCAGGCAAAATGGTGGTGCCTCCCATGTTAGGTAAAGTTTGCATAAAAATATCCCGAACAGAAAAAATATGCATTAATATTGAATACAACTATGTTATACCACAAAGGAAAACCAACATGTGATGCAAGCAATGAATATATACATATTCATTAATTTTAAAAAAATATATATTAAGGAATTGGCTGATGTGATTATGGAGGCTGGCAAATCCAGAATCTGCAGAGTGGGCCAACTCCCTGGAAAACCAAGATAGCCAATGTTTCAGGTAGAGTTTAATGGCAGTCTGCTGTAAAACCAAGAAGAGCTGATGTGCAGATAAAGTTTGAAGGCAGTCTGCTGGAGAATTCTTTCTTGATTGTGGGAGGCTGGTCTTTTTGTTCTATCCAGGCTGCCAACTGACTGAATGAGGCCAGCCTACATTACGAAGGGCAATCTGCTTTACTCAGAATCAACAGCATGTTAATTTACATGTTAATCTCATCCAAAACACTCTCATGGAGACACCCAGAATAATGTTTGACCAAATATCTGGATACCCTGTGGCCCAGCCAAGTTGACACATAAAATTAACCATCATGGTAATCTTGGTAGTTACGTAGAAACCGTTAGGTAGAATAAAATGAAAAAGTGGCTTAAGGTCAACAGGAGGATGCTGATCCCCAAGTCACAGTCCCAGAATGTTAGTGCTGAAGGGACACTGGAGATGATTTATTTTAGCTATCTATTTTGCAGATGAGATAACAAAGGCTCACGGTTATTAAATGAATTGCCCAAGATTCCACGTATGTTCATTAAATAAATAAATGAAATAGATATTTATTGAGCCTTTTCCATATGTCAGATGCTGTGCTAGGCACTGGGGATTCAGTGGTGACCAAGACAGGCACTGTCCTTGCCCTTCCTGCCCTCATGAAGCTTCTCTGAGGAAGGGACACTTAAGCTGAGAAATGAGGATATGTAGGCATTGATCAGGTGATGGCAGAGCAGGGACAGGATGAGAACATCTTACACAGGGATCTGAATGTGGGCAGGTGCTGAGGTGGGAAGGAATTAAGTGAGTTTGAAGATGTGAGCGAAATTTGGAGTATGCTGAAAGACGCAAATCAAAGACTCAAAGATGCTATTTACGTTGCACTGTCTCCCAAAAATGATGTTCTTCCCCCACAAGCTATTTTTTTTCAAAACACTTAGCAATTTTTAAGCAATTAGTCTTACAGCCTGAAGACAGCAGGTATCATTATTGCTATTTAGCAACTAGAGGAATTAAGGCATTGAGCACTCCAACACCTTGCCCAAGGCCACTGAAAAATTCATATTAGAGAACTAGAATTAAAAGTCATGAGGTAAGGCTTGGCTTCTCTGAGACAATCTTGGGAAAAGAAATTATTTATTCTGAAAATTGAAGTAGTCATCTTGGAACCTTTGGTGAAACCAGAGTGCAAAAATAGGCCTTCTCCCCACCCCCAAGGACAACAATAATTTCGTGGTAATTATGATAATGATTGCTAAATGATGAGTGTGCCCATCAGGCTAGGAGTTCCCAGGGCTGAGTTCCCATGTTGCCCTCCTCAGTTCCCCCTCTGTGATTTTCCTAGGGCCATATCATGACCACACTTACATGATTCTCCAGCTGTGAGCTCTGCTTGCTCTGGACCGACCACTTCCATGCAATGCTGTTGGTGTGAACACACCTGAAGTGACCTGATGGAGCTACCTTGTTAGGGAGTCTGAGTCTCTGCAACTTCATTTGATGATTTACTGTTGGGTGGGAGTTTCCATTAAGCATCTGGCCCTTTTCCTGCCTATCTTTCTGATTTACCTGTGGTTTTTCTGAATGTATTGAAAACTTTTAACTTTTATCATTCTTCAATTTTTAATAGTTATGGTTGTCAATTAAGCTTTAATAGATTGTATTGAAAAAGATAAATCTATGCTTATTGGTAGACTGTTCTGTTTTCATTATGTCTGTCAAGTCAGAGAGATGAAGAAACAAGGGAAAATGTTTATGTCTTCTGAAAAGATGTATGGCTTGTGATGGGCCTGGACTTTGCTTGTCCTGGGAAAAGGGATAATTCTTCAAAACCACAGGATGTTCAGATAACATTCAAATGTGTCTCTTGCAGCAAATGTTCTACGTCTGTGATTACTCTGAGTCATTTCTCAGTTTTTACCCCAGTTCATTTTCAAATAGAGTGGGAACCTCTGCCGACTTTCACTGGTATAAGTAGAAAGAGGGTGGGCCTTGGAGGAGGAGAGACTTTGATTCAAGTTCTGGTATGAGAGTCTCCTGGCCATATGATTGTGTACATGTTACTTAACCTTTGACTCAAGTTTCTTTGTAATTAAATGGGGATAATATTTTCCTCATTGCAGTGTTCTTGTGATTAAATGTAACGTGAAAGCCCCTGGCACTACCCTAGCTCGCCTTGCCAGTTCTTCTAACCCTTTCCCTGGAAGTTCGCCACTTTCAAGTCTCATGGCTGAGAGTAGTTGAAATTGATAAAAACATGGTTATTTGTTCATTCATTCTAATTATATGTAAACAACAGATTTTTTTAAGGACTTAGAAAACTATACCAGAATTATTAAAGCAAGGCATCTATATTACCATTTCAGTATTTAATACCAGTGTTTTGAGATTATTTTATCTTTTATATTAAAGGTGATTTGGAGAGCAGCAAATATGCCACAAAGAGAATTGCAATGGAACATAACTTATTTAATATTCCTTTTTAGGTTAAGAGTCAAGTACAAGTGACCTTTTACTTAATTTTGTCCAAATCACATTTGGAACTTGAACTATATCTCTTTTTAAGTTTCTGTTATCTGTACTTGATATTTACATCCATAAAGCTTTCTCTCTCTCACTTTTTTCCAAACCAAACTGATTCAGAATCTTCAGAGTTGTCTTTGTTGAAGCCAAACTGAAATTATTTCCAATGTGAACAGTTCAGATGGTTATGGACATACGTAAGAGCAGAACTGAAATGCAATGGTGATGATAACAGAATAATTGCTTATATGTTTCAGAGCATTGTGTTATTCAACACACACTCACATATTATGTAATTGCTCTTTACAGTGACTCTGTGAGCCTCTTCCACCATTCAAAAAATTCTTAAAAGTGTAAAAGCTGTCAAGCTTGCTGAGATTTGTATAATCTTGATGCCAAAACAAGGCAAGATAATACAGGAAAAGAAAATTATAGCCACTTTCACTTATAAGCATAGATGTGAAAATCCTAAATAAGGGTTTTATTTTATTTTTTACTTTCTTATTGAAGTAGAACATGCAGTGAAGTGCCCAACCTTGAGTGTACAGCTTGATGAACTTTTACATATGTATATATCGATATATAGAACAGTTTCAACACCCAGCAGGTTCCCTTTACCATCTCCCAGTTAATACAAATGGAGCCATACAGAATTCTTTTGTATCTGGCTTCGTTTGCTCAACATGTCTGTGAGATTATGCATGTTGTTGCATATAGCTGTCATTTTTTTCATTGCTGTGTAGTACTGTGTTATATAATGATACAACTATTTATTGACTCTGATAAGCATTTGGGTATTTTCAGTTTTTGGCTCTTATGAACAAAGCAGCTATGAGTATTTGTGTTCTTCTTTTTTTCCTTTTTTTCTTTTTTCTGTTTTTAATTTTATTTATTATTTATTTATTTATTTATTTATTTATTTATTTTTTAGACAGGGTTTTACTCTGTTGCCCAGGCTGGAGTGCAGTGCCACGATCTCAGCTCACTGCTACCTCCGCCTCCTGGCTTCAAGCGATTCTCCCACCTCAGCCTCCCAAGTAGCTGGGATTACAGGCACGTGCCACCACAGCCTGGCTAATTTTTGCATTTTTGGTAAAGATGGGGTTTTGCCATGTTGGCCAGGCTGGTCTTGAACTCCTGACCTCAAGTGATCTACTCACCTCGGCCTCCCAAAATGTTGGGGTTATAGGCATGAGTCACTGCTCCTAGCCCAAAAGCAGCTATGAATATTCTTGTAGATATGCTTTATAAGCACTCATTTCTTTCAGGTATATATCCATAAATGGAACTGCTGAGTCATAGTGTATACGGTTTTCTAAAATAGTTCTACCAATTTACAGTCACACTAGTGTGTGAGAGTGTATACAGTTGCTCCACATCCTCACCTCATAAGATTTTACTTGAAATTATCAGTCCTTTTTAGTTTCAGTCGTTCTAGTGAAGTTGTAATCATATCTCATTATGATTTTAATCTGCATTTCCCTAATGATTAACAATGACTGATAATGTTGAACAGCTCTAATATGCTCATTAACAATTACGATATTCCCTTTTATGAAGTGCTTATTCAAACCTTTCCACATCTAAAAAATTGAGTTGTCTTTTTCTTATTGGCTTGTAGTATTTAAAAATATATTTTTGAGATACTTATTCTCTGTCAGACATATATACTGGGAATATATTTTCCCAGTCTGTGATTTACGCTTTTACTCTCTTAATCATGTCTTTTGATGAACAGAAGTCATTATTATAATAAAGTCCAATTTATAGTCTTATGATTAGCGCTTGTGGGTCCTGTTTAAGAAACCATTGCCCACTGCAGAGTAATTATGATATTTTATTATGTTATCTCCTAGAAGTTTTATTGTTTTAACTTTTATATTTAAGCTCCATTTTTTAATAAGAATGTTACCCAAACTTTATTATTTATTTATTTTCCAACCTTATTTAGGTATAACTGACAAAACTTGTATATATTTAAGGTATACAACATAATTTTTATATATGTTTACATTATGGAATAATTACCATAATCAAGCTAACAAACATATCCATCAACTCACCTAGTTACCATTTTGTGTGTGAGTATGTGGTGAGAACATTTAAGATCTACTCTTTTAGCAAATTTCCAGTATATATTGCAGTATACTAACTATAGTCACCTTGCTATCATTAGATCTCCAGAACTTATTCATCCTGCCTAGCAACTTTGTACCCTTTAACCAAGATCTCCCCATTTCCCCCACTCTCTAGTTCCTGGCAACCACTGCCCTACTAATCTGTTTCTAATTCATCATTTTTAGATCCCACATATAAGTGAGAGCATGCAGTTTTTGTCTCTCTGCATCTGGCTTATTTCACTTAACATAATGTCCTTCAGGTCCATCCATGTTGTCACAAGTGACAATACTTTCTTCTTTTTTTAAGGCTGAATAATATTCCATTGCATATCTATACATCACATTTTCTTTATCTATTTGTGTGTTGATGGACACCTACACTGATTCCACATCTTTGCTATTGTTATAATGCTGCCATGAACATGGGAGTAGATGTATTTCTTCAGAATACTGATTTCATTTCCTATTGGTATACACAAAGAAGTGGGATTGTTGGATCATATAGTAGTTCTATATTTAATTTTTTGAGAAAGTTCTACTACTTTTATCCCTTTTTCTCTATATTCTTATTATTTTTTGTCTTTTGATGATAGCTCTTCTAAGATGTGTGAGGTAATATCTCATTGTAGTTTTGATTTGAATTTCCCTGGTAATTAATTATTTGAACATTTTTTCATATACCTGTTGTTGGCCACGTCTTTTGAGAAATATCCATTTAGGTAATTTGCCCATTAAAAAATTAGATTGTTTGTTTTCTTACTATTGAGTTATTTAATTTCCTTGTATCTTTTGGATATTAACTGCTTATCAGATGTAGGGTTTGCAGTATTTTCTCCCATTCTGTATTGTCTCTTCACTTTGTTGATTGTTTCCTTTGCTGTGCAGAAGCATGCATTCCATTTGTCTATTTTTGCATTGTTGCCTGTGCTTCTGGGGTCATATCTAAAAATTCATTGCTCAGATCAATATCAAGAAGCTTTTCCCCTATGTTTTCTTCTAGTAGTTTTATAGTCTCAGGTCTTACATTTAAATCTTTAATCAATTCTCTGTTGATTTACTTTTTATTTTTTGGAGGTGGGCTTTTACTGTGTCACTGAGGCTAGAGTACAGTAGTGTGATCATGGCTCACCGCAGCCTCAACTTCTTGGGCTGACGGGATCCTCCCATCTTGGCCTCTTGAGTAGCTGGGACTATAGGCACATGATAACATGCCTAGCTTATTGATTGATTGATTGACTGATTGATTGTAGATATTGGGTCTATGTTGACCAGGCTGGTCTCAAACTCTTGAGCTCAAGCAATCCTTTCTCCTTGGCCTCCCAAAGTGCTGGTATTATAGGCATGAGCCAGTGTGCCTGGCCTGAGTTAATTTTTTTTGATAAGGTGTGAGTTAAGGGTCCAATTTCACTCTTCTGCATGTGAATATACAGTTCTTCCAATATCATTTATTGAAGAGACTGTTTTTTCCTCATTGTTTGTTTTTGGAACCTTGTCAAAAACCAATTGGCTATAAACATGCGGATTTATTTCTGGGCTCTCTATTCTGTTTCATTGATCTATATGTCTGCTTTTATGCCAGTACCATACTGTTTTGATTCCTATACCTTTGTAGTATATTTTGAAATCAAGTAGTGTGATGCCAGCTTTGTTCTTCTTGCTCAATATTGCTTTGGGTATTCAGAGTCTTTTGTGATTCCATATAAATTTTAGGATTTTTTTTCTATTTCTCTGAAAAATGACATGGGAATTTTGATAGGGATCGCATTGCATCTATAGATTGCTTTGAGTGGTATGAACATTTTAACAGTATTAATTCTCCTCATTCATGAATATGAGATATAGATATCTTTGCATTTATCTGTGTCTTCTTCAATTCCTTTTATCAATGTTTTATGGTTTTCGGTGTATAGATTTTTCATCTTCTTAATTAAATTTATTCCTAAGTATTTTATTTTTGATGCTATGACAAATGAAACTATTTCTTCATTTCTTTTCTGATAGCTTGTTGTTAATGTATAGAAACACAACTCGTTTTTGTATGCTGATTTTTTTTATCCTGAAGCTTTACTGAATTCATTTAGTCATTTTAACAGGTTTTGGTGGTGTCTTTAGGATTTTCTGCATATGAGATCATGTATGTAATCTGCAAACAGAGACAGTATAACTTCTTTCTTTCTTCTTTGAATGCCTTTTGTTTCTTTTTTATTGCCTAATTGCTCTGGCTAGAACTTTCAGTACTACGTTGAAAAGAAATGGTGAAATTGGGCATCCTTGTATTGTCCCTAATCTTAGAGAAAAAGTATTCAGCTTTCCACTGTTGGGTATGACGTTAGCTTTGGGCTTGTTATCTATGGCTTCTATTATATTGAGGCACATTCCTTCTATATCTGATATTTTGAGAGGTTTTTTTTTCATGAAAGGATGCTGAATGTTGTCAAATGCTTTTTCTGCATTTATTGAGAGGATCATATGATTTTTACTTTATATTCTGTTAACGTGGTGTATAACATGTATTGATTTGCATATGTTGAACCATTCTTGTATCCCAGTAATAAATCTTGCTTGGTCATGGTATATGATCCTCTTACATTGTAGTTTAATTTTGTTCACTAGTATTTTGTTGAGGATTTTTGCATCTGTGTTCATTGGGATATTTGTCCTGTGCTATGGTTTAGATATGGTGTGTTTGGTCCCACCATGTCGCTTGTTGAAATATGATCTCCATTATTGGAGGTGGGAACTGGTGGGAAGTGTTTAGGTCATGAGGGACAGATCCCTTCTGAGTGACTTTGTGCCCTTCTTGTGGGAGTGAGTGAGTTCCCAGTCTTAGTTCCTGTGAGAACTAGTTGTTGAAAAGAACATGGCACTTCCTCCACTCCCTCTGTCTTTCTTCCTCTTGCCATGCGATTTGCACATGTGGCTCTCCTTTACCTTCTGCCATGAGTGGAAGAAGCCTGAAGTTCTCACCAGAAGCAGATGCTGCTGCCATGCTTCATGTACTGTCTGATGAACCATGAGCAAAATAAACCTCTTTTCTTCATAAATTATCCAGCCTCAGTTGTTCCTTTATAGCAATTCAAAACAGACTAAGCCACTTACCTTTTCCATTTTCTGAAAGAATTTGAGAAAGGTTGGTGTAAGTTCTCTTTAAAGGTTTGGTAGAATTCACCAGTGAAGCCATCAGGTCTTAGGCTTTTCTTTGTTGGGAGGTTTTTGATTACTTATTCAATCTTCTTATGCATTATTGATATCTTCAGATTTTCTATTTCCTCATGATTCAATCTTGATAGATTGGATCAAATGGTAGTTCTACTTTTGGTTCTTTAAGGAATCTCCATACTGTTTTCCATAGTGGTTGTACTAATTTACATTCTCACCAGCAGTGTAAAAGTGCTCCCTTTTCACCATGTCCACACCAACATCTATTGTTTTCTGACTTTTTAATTATGGCTACTCTTGCAGGAGTAAGGCGGTATCTTGCTTGTGGTTTAAATTTTCATTTCCCTGATGATTAGTGATGTTGAGCATTTTTTCATATGTTTACTGGCCATTTGTATATTTTCTTTTGAGAAATGTCTATTCATGTCATGTGTCCACTTTTCTTTTGATGGGCTCATTTGTTTTTTTCTAGATGATTTGTTTGAGTTCCTTGTAGATTCTGGATATTAGTCCATTGTCAGATGCATAGTTTGCAAATATTTGCTCCCATTATATGGGTTGTCTGTTTACTCTGATGATTATTTCTTTTGCTGTACAAAAGATTTTTAGTTTGATTAGGTTCCATTTATATATTTTTGTTTTGTTGCACTTGCTTTGGGGGTCTTACTCATGAATCCTTTGCCTAGGCTAATGTCCAGAAGAGTTTTTCCAATGTTATCTTCTAGATGTTTTATGGTTTCACGTCTTAGATTTAAGTCTTTGATCCATCTTGAGATGATTTTTGTATAAGGTGAAAGATATGGATCCAGTTTTACTCTTCTATCTGTGGCTAGCCAGTTTTCTCAGCACCATTTATTAAACACAGTGTCCTTTCCCCCAATTTATGTTTTTGTATGCTTTGTCAAAGATCAGTTGGTTGTAAGTATTTGGCTTTATTTCTGGGTTCTCTATTCTGTTCCATTAGTCTATGTGCCTACTTTTAAGCCAGTACCATACTGTTTTGGTAACTATAGACTTGTAGTATAATTTGAAGGCTGGTTAATGTGATGCCTCCAGATTTGTTTTTTCCCTTAGGATTGCTTTGACTATTTGGGCTCCTTTTTGGTTCCATATGAATTTTAGGATTTTTTTTTCTAATTTTGTGAAAAATGATATTGGAACTTTGAATAGGAATTACATTGGACCTGTAGATTGGTTTGGGCAGTATGGTCATTTTAAAGATATTGTTTCTTCCAATTTATGAGCATTGGATATGCTTTCATTTGTTTGTTTCATCTATGATATCTTTCAGCAGTGTTTTGTAGTTCTCCTTGCAGAGATTTTTCACCTCCTTGGTTAAGTATATTCCTAGGTATTTTATTTTATTTTCTGCAGCTCTTGTAGAAGGGATTGAGCTCTTGACTTGATTCTCAGCTTGGCTGTTGTTGATATATAGTGGTGCTACTGATTTGTATACACTCATTTTGTAACCTGAGACTACTGAATTCATTTATCAAATCTAGGAGTCTTTTGGATGAATCTTTAGGGTTTTCTAGGTATATCATCGTATTATCAGCCAACAGTGATAGTTTGATTTTCTCTTTTCCAATTTGATGCCCTCTATTTCTTTCTCTTGCCTGATTGCTCTGGCTAGGACTTCCAGTACTATGTCAAATTGAAGTGGTGAAAGTGGGCCTCCATGTCTTGTTCCAGGTCCCAGGGCTAATGCTTTCAAATTTTCCCCATTCAGTATGATGTTTGCTGTGAGTTTTTTTAATATATGACTTTTATTATTTTGAGGTGAGTTCCCTCTATGGATAGTTTGTTGAGAGGTTTTATGATAAAGCAATGCTGTATTTTATCAAATGCTTTTTCTGCATCTACTGAAATTATTATATGACTTTTGTCTTTAATTCTGTTTATGTGATGTGTCACATTTATTGACTTGAGTATGCTAAACCATCTGTACATCCTTTGGATGAAGCCCACTTGATCATAGTGTATTATCTTTTTGATGTGGTGTTGGATTCAGTTAGCTAGTATTTTGTTGAAGATTTTTGCATCTATGTTCATCAAGGATATTGATTGTTAGTTTTTTTGTTGTTGTTGTTGTTATGTCATTTCCTGGTTTTGTTATGAGGATGATACTGGCTTCATAGAACGAGTTATGGAGGATTCTTTCTTCTTGATCTTTTGGAATAGTTTCAGTAGGATTGGTATTAATTCTTCTTTGAATGTCTGGTAGCATTCAGCTGTGAATCTGGCCAGGTGCTCTTGCCTGTAATTCCAGCACTTTGGGAGGCCAAGGCAGGTGAATTGCTTAAGGCCAGGAGTTCAAGACTGTCCTGGCCAACATGGTGAAACCTCATCTGTACTAAAAATACAAAAATTAGCTGAGTGTGGTGGCACATGCCTGTAGTCCCAGATTCTTGAGAGGCTGAGGCAGACGAATTGCTTGAACCAGGAAGGCAGAGGTTGCAGTGAGCCGAGATTATGCCACTGCACTCCAGCCTGGGCGACAGAGTTAGACTCTGTCTGAAGACAAACAAACAAACAAAACAAAACAAAACAAAACAAAAAGAGAATTCAGTTGTGAATCTATCTGGCCCTGGGCTTTTTATTATTATTATTATTATTGATTTAATCTCGATGCTTGTTATTGATCTGTTCAGGGTTCTTATTTCTTCCTGATTTAATCTAGGAGGATTGTATATTTCCAGGAATTTATCATTTTCCTCTAGATTATCTAGTTTGCGTGCATAAAGTTGTTCATAGTAATCTTGAATGATCTTTTGTATTTCTGTGGTATTGGTTGTAACGTCTCCAGTTTAATTTCAAATTGAGCTTATTCGAATCTTCTCTTTTCTTTAGTTGGTTAATCTATCTAATGGTTATCAACTTTGTTTATCGTTTTAAAGAGTCAGATATTAGTTTCATTGATCTTTTGATTTTTTGTTTCAATTTTATTTAGTTCTGCTCTGATCGTTGTTATTTTTTTTTTCTGCTGCTAGCTTTGGGTTTAGTTTGTTCCTGTTTCTCTAGTTCCTTGAGATGTAACATTAGGTTGCCAATTTATGATCTTTGAGACTTTTTGATGTAGACATTTACTGCTATAAACTTTCCTCTTAGCACTGCTTTTGTTTTATCCCAGAGGTTTTAATAACTTGTGTCACTATTATAATTCATTTCAAAGAATTTTTAAATTTCCTTCTTGATTTCATTGTTAATCCCAAAAATCATTCAGGAGCAGATTGTTTAATTTCCATGTATTTGTATAGTTTTGAGGGTTCCTTTGGCAGTTGATTTTTAGTTTTATTCTGCAGTGGTCTGAGAAGATACCTGATATAATTTTGATTTTTAAAAATTTATTTAGACTTGTTTTGTGGCCTATCACACGGTCTGTCTTCGAGAATGTTCCATGTGCTGACGAAAAGAATGTATGTTCTATAGTTCTTGGGTAGAATATACTGTAAATATGTGTTAGAGCCACTTGTTCTAGATTATAGTTTAAGTCCATTTTTTTTGTTGACTTTATGTCTCAATGATTTGTCTAGTGCAGTCAGCAGAATGTTCAAGTAGCCCATTAATATTGTGTTGCTGTGTATCTCGTTTCCCAGGTTTAAGGAATTGTTTTATAAATCTGGGATCTCCAGTGATAGGTGCATATAAATTTAGGATTGTAATATCTTCTTGTTGGGTTGATCCTTTTATCATTATATAGGGAATTTCTTTTTCTTTTTTCACTGTCGTTGCTTTAAAGTCTGTTTTATCTGATATAAGAATAGCTACTCTTGCTTGCTTTCAATTTACGTTTGCATGGAATATCTTTTTTACAGCCTTTTGCCTTGAATGTATATGAATTCTCACATGTTAGGTAGGTCTCTTGAAGACAGCAGATATTTAGTTTGTGATTTTTTAAAATACATTCTGCCAATCTGTATTTTTTAAGAGGAGCATTTAAGCTATTTATGTTCAATGTTAATATTGAGATGTGAGGTATTGTTCAATTCATCATGCTAATTGTTAACTAGATACTTTTTTTCTTCATTGTGTTATTGTTTCATAGGCCCTGTGAATTTTACGCTTTCAAGTAGTTGTATTCTCGTGTACACTGAGATTTCATTTTAAGATTTAGAACTCATTTTAGCATTTCTATTATATATATATATTTTTTATTATACTTTAAGTTCTAGGGTACATGTGCACAACATGCAGGTTTGTTACATATATATACATGTGCCATGTTAGTGTGCTGCACCCATTAACTCATCATTTACATTAGGTATATCTCCTAATGCTATCCCTCCCCACTCCCCCCACCCCACAACAGGCCCCAGTGTGTGATGTTCCCCTTCCTGTGTTCAAGTGTTCTCATTGTTCAATTCCCACTTATGAGTGAGAACATGTGGTGTTTGGTTTTTTTGTCCTTGCGATAGTTTGCTGAGAATGATGGTTTCCAGCTTCATCCATGTCCCTACAAAGGACATGAACTCATCATTTTTTATGGCTGCATAGTATTCCATGGTGTATATGTGCCTCATTTTCTTAATCCAGTCTATCATTGTTGGACATTTGGGTTGGTTCCAAGTCTTTGTTATTGTGAATAGTGCCATAATAAACATATGTGTGCATGTGTCTTTATAGCAGCATGATTTATATTCCTTTGGGTATACACCCAGTAATGGGATGGCTGGGTCAAATGGTATTTCTAGTTCTAGATCCCTGAGGAATAGTCACACAGTCTTCCACAATGGTTGAACTAGTTTACAGTCCCACCAACAGTGTAAAAGTGTTCCCATTTCTCCACATCCTCTCCAGCACCTGTTGTTTCCTGACTTTTTTTTTTTTTTTTTGAGACGGAGTCTCGCTCTGTTGCCCAGGCCAGACTGCGGACTGCAGTGGCGCAATCTCGGCTCACTGCAAGCTCCGCTTCCCCGGGTTCACGCCATTCTCCTGCCTCAGCCTCCCGAGTAGCTGGGACTACAGGCGCCCGCCACCGCGCCCGGCTAATTTTTTGTATTTTTAGTAGAGACGGGGTTTCACCTTGTTAGCCAGGATGGTCTCGATCTCCTGACATCATGATCCACCCGCCTCGGCCTCCCAAAGTGCTGGGATTACAGGCGTGAGCCACCGCGCCCGGCCGTTTCCTGACTTTTTAATGATCGCCATTCTAACTGGTGTGAGATGATATCTCATTGTGGTTTTGATTTGCATTTCTCTGATGGCCAGTGATGATGAGCATTTTTTCATGTGTCTGTTGGCTGCATAAATGTCTTCTTTTGAGAAGTGTCTGTTCATATCCTTTGCCCACTTGTTGATGGGGTTGTTTGTTTTTTCTTGTAAATTTGGTTGAGTTCTTTGTAGATTTTGGATATTAGCCCTTTGTCAAAGGAGTAGATTGCAAAAATTTTCTCCCATTCTGTAGATTGCCTGTTCACTCTGATGGTAGTTTCTTTTGCTGTGCAGAAGCTCTTGAGTTTAATTAGATCCCATTTGGCAATTTTGTCTTTTGTTGCCATTGCTCTTGGTATTTTAGACATGAAGTCCTTGCCCATGCCTATGTCCTGTATGGTATTGCCTAGGTTTTCTTCTAGTGTTTTTCTGGCTTTAGGTCTAACATTTAAGTCTTTTATCAATCTTGAATTAATTTTTGTATAAGGTGTAAGGAAGGGATCCAGTTTCAGCTTTCTACATATGGCTAGCCAGTTTTTCCAGCGCCATTTATTAAATGGGGAATCCTTTTCCCATTTCTTGTATTTATCAGATTTGTCAAAGATCAGATAGTTGTAGATGTGTGGTATTATTTCTGAGGGCTCTGTTCTGTTCCATCGGTCTATATCTCTGTTTTGGTACCAGTACCATGCTGTGTTGGTTACTGTAGCCTTGTAGAATAGTTTGAAGTCAGGTAGCCGGATGCCTCCAGCTTTGTTCTTTTGGCTTAGGATTGACTTGGCGATGCGGGCTCTTTTTTGGTTCCATATGAACTTTAAAGTAGTTTTTTCCAATTCTGTGAAGAAAGTCATTGGTAGCTTAATGGAGATGGCATTGAATCTATAAATTACCTTGAGCAGTATGGCCATTTTCATGAAATTGATTCTTCCTATCCATGAGCATGGAATGTTCTTCCATTTGTTTGTGTCCACTTTCATTTCATTGAGCAGTGGTTTGTAGCTGTCCTTGAAGAGGTCCTTCACATCCCTTGTAAGTTGGATTCCTAGGTATTTTATTCTCTTTATAGCAATTGTGAATGGGAGTTCACTCCTGATTTGGCTCTCTGTTTGTCTGTTATTGGTGTATAAGAATGCTTGTGACTTTTGTACATTGATTTTATATCCTGAGACTTTGCTGAAGTTGCTTATCAGCCTAAGGAGATTTTGGGCTGAGATGATGGGGTTTTCTAGATATACAATCATGTAATCTGCAAACAGGGAGAATTTGACTTCCTCTTTTCCTAACTGAATACCCTTTATTTCTTTCTCCTGCCTGATTGCCCTGGCCAGAACTTCCAACACTATGTTGAATAGGAATGGTGAGAGAGGGCATCCCTGTCTTGTGCAGGTTTTCAAAGGGAATGCTTCCAGTTTTTGCCCATTCAGTATGATATTGGCTGTGGGTTTGTCATAAATAGCTCTTATTATTTTGAGATACGTCCTATCAATATCTAATTTATTGAGAGTTTTTAGCATGAAGCGTTGTTGAATTTTGTCAAAGGCCTTTTCTGCATCTATTGAGATAATCATGTGGTTTTTGTCATTGGTTCTGTTTATATGCTGGATTACGTTTATTGATTTGCATATGTTGAACCAGACTTGCATCCCAGGGATTAAGCTCACTTGATCATGGTGGATAAGCTTTTTGATGTGCCGCTGGATTCAGTTTGCCAGTATTTTATTGAGGATTTTTGCATCAATGTTCATCAGGGATATTGGTCTAAAATTCTCTTTTTTTGTTATGTCTCTGCCAGGCTTTGGTATCAGGATGATACTGGCCTCATAAGATGAGTTAGGGAGGATTCCCTCTTTTTCTATTTATTGGAATAGTTTCAGAAGGAATGGTACCAGCTCCTCCTTGAACCTCTGGTAGAATTCGGCTGTGAATCTATCTGGTCCTATACTTTTTTTGGTTGGTAGGCTATTAATTATTGCCTCAATTTCAGAGCCTGTTACTGGTCTATTCAGAGATTCAACTTCTTCCTGGTTTAGTCTTGGGATGGTGTATGTGTCCAGGAATTTATTCATTTCTTCTAGATTTTCTAGTTTATTTGCATAGAGGTGTTTATAGTATTCTCTGTTGGTAGTTTGTATTTCTGTGGGATTGGTGGTGATATCCCCTTTATCATTTTTTGTTGCGTCTATTTGATTCTTCTCTCTTTTCTTCTCTATTAGTCTTGCTAGTGGTCTATCAATTTCATTGATCATTTCAAAAACCAGCTCCTGGATTCATTGATTTTTTTGAAGGGTTTTTTGTGTCTCTGTCTCCTTCAGTTCTGCTCTGATCTTAGTTATTTCTTGCCTTCTGCTATCTTTTGAATGTGTTTGCTCTTGCTTCTCTAGTTCTTTTAATTGTGATGTTAGGGTGTCAATTTTAGTTCTTTCCTGCTTTCTCTTGTGGGCATTTAGTGCTATAAATTTCCCTCTACACACTGCTTCAAATGTGCCCCAGAGATTCTGGTATGTTGTGTCTTTGTTCTCATTGGTTTCAAAGAACATCTTTATTTCTGCCTTCATTTCGTTATGGACCCAGTAGTCATTCAGGAGCAGGTTGTTCAGTTTCCATGTAGTTGAGCAGTTTTGAGTGAGTTTCTTAATCCTGAGTTCTAGTTTGATTGCAATGTGGTCTGAGAGACAGTTTGTTATAATTTCTGTTCTTTTACATTTGCTGAGGAGTGCTTTACTTCCAACTATGTGGTCAATTTTGGAATAAGTGTGATGTGGTACTGAGAAGAATGTATATTCTGTTGATTTGGGGTGGAGAGTTCTGTAGATGTCTATTAGGTCGGCTTGGTGCAGAGCTGAATTCAATTCCTAGATATCCTTGTTAACTTTCTGTCTCGTTGATCTGGCTATTGTTGACAGTGGGG
This sequence comes from Homo sapiens, assembly GCF_000001405.40. Classification (NCBI taxonomy): domain Eukaryota; kingdom Metazoa; phylum Chordata; class Mammalia; order Primates; family Hominidae; genus Homo; species Homo sapiens. Next base: position 158,036,691 of record NC_000003.12, on the reverse strand, counting down.
TGTTGAAGTCTCCCATTATTATTGTGTGGGAGTCTAAGTCTCTTTGTAGGTCTGTAAGGACTTGTTTTATGAATCTGGGTGCTCCTGTATTGGGTGCATACATATTTAGGATAGTTAGCTCTTCTTGTTGAATTAATCCCTTTACTATTATGTAATGGCCTTCTTTGTCTCTTTTGATCTTTGTTTATTTAAAGTCTGGTTTTATCAGAGACAAGGATTGCAATCCCTGCCTTTTTCTGTTTTCCATTTGCTTGATAGATCTTCCTACATCCCTTTATTTTGAGCCTATGTGTGTCTCTGCACGTGAGATGGGTTTCCTGAATACAGCACACTGATGGGTTTTGACTCTTTATCCAATTTGCCAGTCTGTGTCTTTTAATTGGAGCATTTAGCCCATTTACATTTAAGGTTAATATTGTTATGTGTGAATTTGATCCTGTCATTATGATGTTAGCTGGTTATTTTGCTCTTTAGTTGATGCAGTTTCTTCCTAGCCTCGATGGTCTTTACAATTTGGCATGTTTTTGCAGTGGCTGGTACTGATTGTTCCTTTCCATGTTTAGTGCTTCCTTTGGGAGCTCTTGTAGGGCAGGCCTGTTGGTGACAAAATCTCTCAGCATTTGCTTGTCTTTAAAGTATTTTATTTCTCCTTCACTTATGAAGCTTAATTTGGCTGGATATGAAATTCTGGGTTGAAAATTCTTTTCTTTAAGAATGTTGAATATTGGCCCCCACTCTCTTCTGGCTTGTAGAGTTTCTGCCAAGAGATCAGCTGTTAGTCTGATGGGCTTCCCTTTGTGGGTAACCGGACCCTTCTCTCTGGCTGCCCCTAACATTTTTTCCTTCATTTCAACTTTGCTGAATCTGACAATTATGTGTCTTGGAGTTGCTCTTCTCGAGGAGTATCTTTGTGGTGTTCTTTGTATTTCCTGAATTTAAATGTTGGCCTGACTTGCTAGGTTGGGGAAGTTCTCCTGGAAAATATCCTGCAGAGTATTTTCCAACTTGGTTCCATTCTCCCCGTCACTTTCAGGTACACCAATCAGACGTAGATTTGGTCTTTTCACATAGTCCCATATTTCGTGGAGGCTTTGTTTTGTTTCTTTTTACTCTTTTTTCTCTAAACTTCTCACTTCATTTCATTCATTTGATCTTCAATCACTGACACCCTTTCTTCCAGTTGATCGAATCGGCTACTGAAGCTTGTGCATTCGTCATGTAGTTCTCGTTCTGTGGTTTTCAGCTCCATTAGGTCCTTTAAGGACTTCTTGGCATTGCTTATTCTAGTTAGCCATTCATCTAATCTTTTTTCAAGGTTTTTAACTTCTTTGCCATGGGTTCAAACTTCCTCCTTTAGCTCAGAGAAGTTTGATTGTCTGAAGCCTTCTTCTCTCAACTCGTCAAAGTCATTCTCTGTCCAGCTTTGTTCCATTGCTGGTGAGGAGCTGTGTTCCTTTGGAGGAGGAGAGGAGCTCTGATTTTTAGAATTTTCAGTTTTTTCTGTTCTGTTTTTTCCCCATCTTTGTGGTTTTATCTACCTTTGGTCTTTGATGATGGTGACATACAGATGGGGTTTTGGTGTGGATGTCCTTTCTGTTTGCTAGTTTTCCTTTTAACAGTCAGGACCCTCAGCTGCAGATCTGTTGGAGTTTGCTGGAAGTCCACTCCAGACCCTGTTTGCCTCGGTATCAGCAGCAGAGACTGCAGAACAGTGAATATTGCTGAACAGCAAATGTTGCTGTCTGATTGTTCCTCTGGAGGTTTCATCTCAGAGGGGTACCTGCCTGTGTGAGGTATCAGTCTGCCCCTATTGGGCGATGCCTCCCAGATAGGCTACTCGGGGGTCAGGGACCCACTTGAGGAGGCAGTCTGACCATTCTCAGATCTCAGACTCCATGCTGGGAGATCCACTACTCTCTTCAAAGCTGTCAGACAGGGACATTTAAGTCTGCAGAGGTTTCTGCTGCCTTTTGTTTGGCTATGCCCTTCCCGCAGATATGGAGTCTATAGAGGCAGGCAGGCCTCCTTGAGCTGCAGTGGGCTCCACCCAGTTTGAGCTTCCTGGCTGCTTTGTTTACCTACTCAAGCCTCAGCAATGGCAGGGGCCCATCCCCTAGCCTTGATGCCGCCTTGCAGTTCAATCTCAGAGTGTTGTGCTAGCAATGAGCGAGGCTCCGTGGGCGTTGGACCCTCTGAGCCATGCGCGGGATATAATCTCCTGGTGTGCCGTTTGCTTAGACCATTGGAAAAGTGCAGTATTAGGGTGGGAGTGACTCGATTTTCCAGGTGCCGTCTGTCACAGCTTTACTTGGCTATGAAAGAGAATTCCCTGATCCCTTGCACTTCCTGGGTGAGGTGATGCCTCGCACTGCTTTGGCTCATGCTCGGTGCACTGCACCCACAGTTCTGCACCCACTGTCTGACAAGCCCCAGTGAGATGAACCTGGTACCTCAGTTGGAAATGCAGAAATCACCTGTCTTCTGCATTGCTCACACTGGGAGCTGTAGACTGTAGCTGTTCCTTTTCGGCCATCTTGGAGAAAACCCCCATTTTAGCATTTCTTGTAGGGCTGGAGTGGCAGTGACAAATTTCCTTAGCATTTATTTGCCTGAAAATGACTTTATTACTCCTTCATTTATGAAATTAGTTTTGCTGGAAACAAAATTATTGGATGACAGTTATTCTGTTTAATGAGGCTAAAGATAGAAGCCCAATCCTTTCTAGCTTGTAAGGTTTCTGCTGAGAGGTCTGATGTTAGGTTTTCCTTTATAGGTTACCTGATACTTTTGTCTCACTGCTTTTAGAATTTTTTTCTGAAAAGTCACCTCTTTTCATCTGCAGGAATGTTGATGTTCCAAGTAGAAAGGAATAGCCTGATGACTAAATGCCTTGGTGACGTCCTCTTTGCCATGACTCTTCCACGATTCCTTTGAACTTTTTGTATTTGGATATCTAGATCTCTAGCAAGGCCAGGGAAGTTTTCCTCAATTATTCCCTCAAATGAGTTTTCCAAAGTTTTTGCTTTCTCTTCTCTCTCAGGAACACCAGTTATTCTTAGGTTTGGCCATTTTATGAATTCCCATATTTCTTAGAGATGTTGTTCATTTCTTTTTGATTCTTTTTTCTTTATTTTTGTCTGATTGGGTTAATTTTTCTTGTGTTGTCTTTGAGCTCCGAGATTCTTTCTTCTACCTGTTCTAGTTTTTTGTTAACATTTTCCACGGCATTTTGTAATTTCCTAAATGTATTTTTTATTTCCAGAGGTTTTGATTGATTTTCCTTTAAGATGTCTATTTCTTTAGAAAAATTTTCATTCATATCCTGAATTGTTTTTAAAATTTCTCTGTTGGTTTTCACCTTTCTCTGGTATCTCCTTGTGGAGCTTAATAATCAATGTCTTTTCTTTCTTTCTTTCTTTCTTTCTTTCTTTCTTTCTTTCTTTCTTTCCTTCCTTCCTTTCCCTCCTCCTCCTTCTCCTTCTTTTCTCCTCATCCTCCTTCTTCTCCTGCCCCTCCTACTTCCTACTCTACCTCCCCCTCCCCTTCATCCTCCTCCCCCACCCTTCTTTTTCTTCTTCTTCTTCATGTAGAGATGAGTTCTCACTATGTTGCCCAGGATAATCTTAAACTCCTGAGCTCAAGTGATCCTCCCATCTCAGCCTCCCAAAGTGCTAAGATTACAGGAGTGAGCCACTGCACCTGGTCAAACTTTTGAATTATTTATCTGGTATTTGAAAGATTTCATCTTGGTTAGGATCCATTGCTGGAAACCTACTGTGTTTTTTTAGGGGTACTATAGAATCCTGTTTTGTCATATTATCAGAATTATTTTTCTGGTTTCTTTTTATTTGTGTAGACTATTTCTTATAATTATTCTTGAATTCATTTTTGATTTGACTGTTTTTTTAATTTCTTTTTTTCCCCTTTAAAGATATTACTTTCATGTTTATGGTTTATTGTAGCCTAATTCAGTTCTTGGTGCTTTCATGGGTGAAGACTCTGTATGAGTTCTTGGTTATAGGCAGTCTTTTTATGAGGCTTTCTCAGATGCTGGCTGTAATAGCAATGTGCTTGGTATGTGAGCAAGTCCACTTTCTCCTATAAGGTTGGTATGGTAGAGGTGTCTTGAAACTTATCTAATTCCCCTGTGGTATGCACTTATTTATTTATTTCCCCCTCAGTATTTTATTTACTAAGTTGAATATTTCTGACTCTGGGTCAATAGGGGTGTAGCTGTGTGGAAACCAGTTGTGGCTGAAGCAGGTAGATAAATGCAATACCTGATGGTAGGCAGAAGTTCCAGCCTTGACAGAGGTGACTGGGAGACCTCTCAGTAAAACACACTGAGATCTTATCAGGGGAAGAGTGGAAGTCACCTCAGCTCCCCTGCCAGGCAAGCAGGAAAGTGATCCACCTCCCAGACATAATCCTGACCCAGTGTGCTGGCTATTCAGATCAGAAAGCCACCTCTTTTCCTCTGCAGGAATGTTGATGTTCCAAGTAGAAAGGAACTGTAACTCTATCTCTCATGTAAGCCTGAACCTGGAGGGTGCTCTTTCTGTGAGGATGCAGTCACCCTGAAGTGTTCCAGAAATGCTGTCTATAGGTGTACCCATGCCAAGCTCCTGTGGGAGAAGCCCCAGTTGTGTCTGCAGTGGTAGACGAAGGCAAAAGAAGTGCTATTTTCCAAGATCTTTCACAAGCACCAGAATTGTCTGATTGTTGGGGTAGAGCTGCAGACTTTTCCTGCTGAGTCCAGCACTGCAACTGTGCCTCTGCTGAAAGAAACTTCCCAACAGCAGAAAGACCTGTATGATAGGTAGGGATAATTTCGGTCTTCTGCATATGGTTAGCCAGTGTTCTCAGCACTCTTTATTGAATAAGGGATGCTTTTCTCATGAAAAATACATAATTTAAATGATTCAAAGAGAAATAAGAAATGGATGCCACTTAATTATGGGAAACTTTATGTTTAAAAGCACAGGGAAAGTGCATTAAAGATGCCATATTCATTTATATTATTATTTGGTAGCATGTAAGAACATTAGATAAATAAGAAGGGCTAATGGTTTTATCTTGTAATTATAGAACCAATGGTTAACCTATGGTAAATGAACAAATGTTAAAAAGACAAAAAAAAGATACACGGCTAGAAAAAAATTATAATCTGATCACATTGAGTTAATACCTATTGGCATTGTGGTGTATGTCTTCTAATCTTCTTTGCATCATGGTACAATATGTACTAACCATAAAAGTAATAAAGCCAACATCTTTGGCACCTACTTCCCTGTCTTTATGCTTGACAAAGTATTTAGAGCTTTCTTTTGCCTTATCAGGTTTCCATGAGGACATGGAAAACCACAGGCTTGTTCTCTCACACTGCTGCCTTACAGATCATCACTCTCCTTTTTGAATGGCTCTGGCATTTTGGGTTGATTCTCTATATTGTGATCATCATAGTCAATGGTCTCTTCTAATTATTCAGATAAATTTCTTTTTTCTTCATTTAGACTTCAAGGGAAAGGGTCCCCTGCACTTTTCCCTCCTCTCCCCATAACTCCAACTACAGTGCTTTCCACATGACATATGCACTTTAAAAAAACAGACACTTTAAAAACGTTTGTTACATGAATAAATTAGTAAACATCAGAGATGAGGAAAAGAAAACTGATAAGCATCAGTTCTTCCTTTGTTGCATACCACAGCTTCTTTGGGAAATTTTGGCATCTCTCCTATAAATTATTAAAGTCCTTACAGGCAGGTACTGTAAGCCATCTTTGTGTGCATTTATCAAATATTTATTGAGCAAATGTTTATGTGTTAGATATTGTGATGAGGTAGAGGTGGAGTGAGAAGAAAGATACAAAGAGAATCTATGTAAATAAGACATGGTTTTGGCTTTAGAAGTTTATAGATTAGTGGGGTTGGGGAAACGTAAGCATATCTTTCACAGTCTAAGGGAAGGGAAGGGGCTAACATTTAGAGAGCATTTGCTACATAACACTTTGCTAAGGTAGGTATTATTATGCCCATTTTAAAACTGAGGAAACAGAGGCTTCAAGGAGTTTACTGAGGGTCACTTAGATTGGGCTTTAAAGCTCTTTTAATTTGGAAATAGTAGGGATTGCAAGAACATTTGCGGTGTGAGCACATGAGCACTGGTTTCCTCACCATTTAATTGTAGTCAATTGAGGAAAGAATAGGAATTAAACCCAAAATATTTCTTGTTTTCAGTCTGACTCTCAGACTAAAATTTGTCTATTTTTGGCTATTGGATTTTTCCTTTAGGCAATGGTAGTCTCCTGTCTGGTCTGTTTTATTTCTTAACTTTGACTTTAGGGACAGCTTCCCAGAAGAAGTGGCATTTGAATTGAGTTGAATAGTGATTATCCAGGTAGGCAAGGGCCTACAAGGTGAGGGAAGATATTCTGCGCCAAGTAACAGAATATGTTGAGACCTGAAAGGTGTTTCTGAATCTCAGGTTCAAGGAAGTGCTGAGAAAGATGGAAAGTGAGTCTCCCAAGGTGTTAGAGTTAGGTTTGAAGCCTTTTAACAAAATCAATATGCCCATCTCGTCCTAGGATTCAGTATGTGACCACTTGAGCAGGCTATTTTCTGCACAGCAGCACCGGGCCAGTGGAGGCTAAACTCCCACTTGCTAGGTGGTAGGCCCTGGCCTTGGGTGACTTTAGCCCAGAGGAAGTATAAACTTGTTTGTGTCATTCAACTGGAGCAGGTGCTTTTCCTAATTCATCCACTGAGTTGCCATTTTTTGTGATTCTTTCTCCAGGAGGAGACACTTATTCCTACTTCACACAGAGGCTCAGTTTGGTAGACTGCTACCTGCCTGGTGGTGGTCAAAAATTCCTGTTCTCTAGAAAAGGAAAATTTTTCTCACTGATCTCAGTGTAAGAGTCCCTGAATAGAAAACAAGTAGAGAACCCAAGTAGATAACATGTATAGTAAATACATTTTTTCCCTCCCAGAAGGGAACTATCTATCATTTTGCCCATCTGGCTATTCCTCCTTCTCCTTCTCCTTCTCCTTCTCCTTCTCCTTCTTCTTCTTCTTCTTCTTCCCCTAATCAAACTACTTGCTTAAAAGAATTTTGGCCTCTATTTTGCTTCCTCCTCTGTGCAATGGAGATAATGCCAGCACCTGCTTCATGGAGCTCATGAAGCTTCAATATAGTAATTCATATCAAGATATTTAAAAGAATGTCTGCCAAATTAGATGTGCTCGAGAAGCATTAGTTTTCCTTCTCCTCCCTCCCTCTTCCTTCCCAGCTTCTCCTTGTACTTTTTCTTCTCTCCTTCCACTCCTTTTTCTATATTATCAAATGACTGTTCGCATCAATATGGTCTTGTTCTTTCTTGCCTGCTGGCTGCCTCCTGCCCAAATCACTGTGAAATAAATTGGAGAGTCCTTATCACATTTACATAATGTTAAATAGCTTTTAAGGTATGAATATTTTGAGGATTAATAGCATTCTTTTTTCTGATATAGGTGTAATGTAATCACAAAGCCCTATTGACTGTTCTATCCATTTACATGATTTTTATTAACATTATCAAGGAATGGTCTTTATCTTTAAACTCTATTTTTATAATGAAGTATGCAAAAACCTCCAGGCACATTAAACTGGCATGAAGTCTTTAACTAATTAAATTAGTCAAGATGGTCTAATAGTAAAAACGTTTTTACAATTTTAAATGAATAAGTCAGCATCTATGAATTAATTTAAAATAAATGTGTAATTCTTATGAAAGTATTTCAGTTCATTTTATTATGCCCAATTTTTTTAAAGAAATGCATCTCCAGATCCACCAATTCCCAGGTTTTTGCTCATAAGGAGCTGAAAACTTGATAACTTGAAGTAATACATATTTTGAAAATTATACACAGAATGACTTAGAATGAATTACATAATTGTTTTTCCTGCCAGTGGATTTGTTTATTTCTTCATGTTGTTTTAAAAAGAGCGATGTAAAAATTATTTTGCGTTTCGTAAGTAGACTAGCTGCAAGATGGGGGCATTATAAATTCACCATTGCAAATTCCCAAACCCAGGTCTGCTAGCTGGTAGTTGAAAATTACATAGAGTTACCATTATGAAACTAATGAGAACCGGTAGAATAAAAGTCAACATCTATCAAATACCTATTTATAGAGAGAGCTTTAAGATTTGCTTTAGTGGAAATAGGCTCTTGGTGCATAAGAGATTATAAAATAAATCACGTATTACTTGCTTATTCCATCCCTTTTATACATTTTATTCTATTACAATTTTGAGGAAGAAATATGATTTTGTTTTCTTTGATTAATTTTCTTATTGGGAGGCTATTCATCATGTAAAAGCATACTAAGACTAACGGTTGCAAGAAATGGAATATTTGACTACATAGTAAATACTGGTAATGCTTACTCAGATATGTCATCAGGAAGATTATTATGATCACTTCTTTTTTTAAGGCTGAATAATATTCCACTGCATATACAATGCATTTTCTTTATCCATTTGTCTGTCAATGGACATTTAGTTTGTTTCTATATCTTGGCCATTGTGAATAATGTTGCAATGAACATGGGAATGCAGGTATCTTAATAAGGTGATTTCATCTCCTTTGGGTATAGACCCAGAAGAGGTATTGCTAACTTGCCTTTTGCTACAACATGGATGGGTCTGGAGGACATTATATTAGGTGAAATAAACCAGAAACAGAAAGAGAAATATTGCATGATCTCACTTATATGTGGGAACAAAAAGATCTCCAGTACATAGAGATAGAGAATGAAATAGTGGTTAACATGAGCTGAGGGTAGGGGGAGGAAATGGTGAGATGTAGGTCAAGGACACAAAATAACAGACATGTAGGATGAACATGGTTAGAGATCTAATGCACAACATGAATAAAGTTAACAAATTGTAGTGTATTAAGGATTTTTGTTAAATAAGTATATTTTAAGTGCTCTTGTCACAAAAAAGTAACTGTGTGAAATGATAGATATGTTAAACTGCCTCACCATAATAACCATTTTACTATCTATATGTATCCCATAACATCATGTTGTAAATCTAAAATATACACAATAAAATTATTTTTTTTTAAAAGAAGGTTATTAGGTACACTTAAGTTAGTCTGCAAAAGGATAAATTATTTCCTCTTGGGACTTCTGCAAACAAACACGGATTTTTACATAGTCTAGTTTAGAAATATATATTTTCTTTGGTTTGTTTTTCTGGAAGAAAAACAGATTTCACAGAAATGCTACATTTCTTATTTTTTTTAGATTCCTTGAGAGTAAGAAAAAAGAGCAGATCATATTCCTATGTGGTCTGGAAAGAATTTGATTTTCCAGAATTTTAAACAATTCTGCCAGATGAGGGCTTCAGGAGTATAATGATCCCCCTTGTAGCAATTTTAGGCCTACATCTATTACTCTTAAGTGATAACTGATAACTCTTAAAATCAGCTTACCTAGAGGATAACTGGTACTGATTGAGGGACTGTGGAGGCAAACAAGTTTCACTTATGAGAGGAACAGATATCATTATGTCATTCCATTATGATTGCCCTCCCCCATTTTAAATTAAAATATCCAAAGAAAAAGAGACAAGGATTATAAATAATTATGGTAGAAGGAGCCATCCATTACTTTCAGAAGTTCCTGGTCTGGATGGATTAACAGACTAGAAAAACATAAATGACTCTATGTATTGAATAACACAATTGTTGTACCAGTTTTATGTTATAGTCGTTAGAGTACAAGTGATGAACCCAGACAGTCCAGGTTCAAAATCTTGTTCTGCCATGCTGTAGCTATGTGGTTCTGGACAAGTGTTTAAGCTCTTTAAGCATCAATTTTCTCATCTGTTTAATGGGGAAAAGAGTACACATGTTAATTTTTTTTTTTTTGGTGAGGATTAAATGAGCTAACGCTCATGCAAAGTGCTTAGTACACAGTAAGTGCTCAGCTAATGTAAGTTATTTTGGCTAGATGTAAGCTCATGGATAACAGAGCCCTTAATTGATAAAGCGGCTGAGGGTAGAGCAGTGGTGTCAGTCAGGAGGCATAGGTCAAGGAGCACATCCTGTAGAAGAGAAGAGAAAATTTGACCTTGTTTTTGAAGTGCCAGTGAATATTCATTGATGAAGAAAGGAGAAGGAATATTTCAGGCAGTGGAGCTGGCATGCAGCTAAAAACAGAAATGCTTGTGAGGCTACATAAATCATGCTGATTGGAGTTTGGAAATAGATTTACTTGGCCAGAGGTAGATTTGTACAGGAAAGCAAGAAAGGATGGAGTTGATTACATAAATGGCCAGATGTATGTTAGCTTACATTTAAAAAATCTCTTTGGCAATAGGGAGCTTTTGTATCTTTAAACTAAAGAATGAGATTATAAAACAAATATTTGTCAAAGTTATTTCAGCAGCAGTTTCTGGTTTGGGTAGGGAGACAATGGCATCTATGAAGGGTGTTGATAATCCAGGTACTGCCGACATAGTTCCAGGAAATGTCCAGGGAATTGGAAAGCAAGAGTGTAATTCTGAGAGGTAGTTTGTATGCAGGAATGATACAGTTTGGTAATAGACTCAAGGTGAGAACTCAAATAGAGTAGTTGATAATAATACCTTAAGTTATTACCTTATCTGGGTACCTATTATATAAATAGAACCTCCCATTTCACCACACAACATTCATGCCAGAAATGGAGGAAGAGACACACTTTGTTTAACAACTTCATCAGGGATTCTACAATGATGATATCAAAGTTCCAGATTTTGGTTGCTCCAAAGGAACTTTGTTATTGAGGGACTGGAGGGAGACAAATTACTCTGCATGAGCAAATTACATATATGTGTATGTATTTATTAAAATATATATTTTGCTCCTGATTAAGTTGTTTTAGGAGGGGGGTGTGAGAAGGGCAGAGGAGACAGAGAATAGCCAAAAGCTTTTTTTTTTTTTTTTAATTATTATTTTTTTTTATTATACTCTAAGTTTTAGGGTACATGTGCACATTGTGCAAGTTAGTTACATATGTATACATGTGCCATGCTGGTGCGCTGCACCCACTAACGTGTCATCTAGCATTAGGTATATCTCCCAATGCTATCCCTCCCCCCTCCCCCCACCCCACCACAGTCCCCAGAGTGTGATATTCCCCTTCCTGTGTCCATGTGATGTCATTGTTCAATTCCCACCTATGAGTGAGAATATGCGGTGTTTGGTTTTTTGTTCTTGCGATAGTTTACTGAGAATGATGGTTTCCAATTTCATCCATGTCCCTACAAAGGACATGAACTCATCATTTTTTATGGCTGCATAGTATTCCATGGTGTATATGTGCCACATTTTCTTAATCCAGTCTGTCATTGTTGGACATTTGGGTTGGTTCCAAGTCTTTGCTATTGTGAATAGTGCCGCAATAAACATACGTGTGCATGTGTCTTTATAGCAGCATGATTTATAGTCCTTTGGGTATATACCCAGCAATGGGATGGCTGGGTCAAATGGTATTTCTAGTTCTAGATCCCTGAGGAATCGCCACACTGACTTCCACAATGGTTGAACTAGTTTACAGTCCCACCAAGAGTGTAAAAGTGTTCCTATTTCTCCACATCCTCTCCAGAACCTGTTGTGTCCTGACTTTTTAATGATTGCCATTCTAACTGGTGTGAGATGATATCTCATAGTGGTTTTGATTTGCATTTCTCTGATGGCCAGTGATGATGAGCATTTCTTCATGTGTTTTTTGGCTGCATAAATGTCTTCTTTTGAGAAGTGTCTGTTCATGTCCTTCGCCCACTTTTTGATGGGGTTGTTTGTTTTTTTCTTGTAAATTTGTTTGAGTTCATTGTAGATTCTGGATATTAGCCCTTCGTCAGATGAGTAGGTTGCGAAAATTTTCTCCCATGTTGTAGGTTGCCTGTTCACTCTGATGGTAGTTTCTTTTGCTGTGCAGAAGCTCTTTAGTTTAATTAGATCCCATTTGTCAATTTTGGCTTTGGTTGCCATTGCTTTTGGTGTTTTGGACATGAAGTCCTTGCCCACGCCTATGTCCTGAATGGTAATGCCTAGGTTTTCTTCTAGGTTTTTTTTGGTTTTAGGTCTAACGTTTAAATCTTTAATCCATCTTGAATTGATTTTTGTATAAGGTGTAAGGAAGGGATCCAGTTTCAGCTTTCTACATATGGCTAGCCAGTTTTCCCAGCACCATTTATTAAATAGGGAATCCTTTCCCCATTGCTTGTTTTTCTCAGGTTTGTCAAAGATCAGATAGTTGTAGATATGCGGCATTATTTCTGAGGGCTCTGTTCTGTTCCATTGATCTATATCTCTGTTTTGGTACCAGTACCATGCTGTTTTGGTTACTGTAGCCTTGTAGTATAGTTTGAAGTCAGGTAGTGTGATGCCTCCAGCTTTGTTCTTTTGGCTTAGGATTGACTTGGAGATGCGGGCTCTTTTTTGGTTCCATATGAACTTTAAAGTAGTTTTTTCCAATTCTGTGAAGAAAGTCATTGGTAGCTTGATGGGGATGGCATTGAATCTGTAAATTACCTTGGGCAGTATGGCCATTTTCACGATATTGATTCTTCCTACCCATGAGCATGGAATGTTCTTCCATTTGTTTGTGTCCTCTTTTATTTCCTTGAGCAGTGGTTTGTAGTTCTCCTTGAAGAGGTCCTTCACATCCCTTGTAAGTTGGATTCCTAGGTATTTTATTCTCTTTGAAGCAATTGTGAATGGGAGTTCACTCATGATTTGGCTCTCTGTTTGTCTGTTGTTGGTGTATAAGAATGCTTGTGATTTTTGTACATTGATTTTGTATCCTGAGACTTTGCTGAAGTTGCTTATCAGCTTAAGGAGATTTTGGGCTGAGACAATGGGGTTTTCTAGATAAACAATCATGTCATCTGCAAACAGGGACAATTTGACTTCCTCTTTTCCTAATTGAATACCCTTTATTTCCTTCTCCTGCCTGATTGCCCTGGCCAGAACTTCCAACACTATGTTGAATAGGAGCGGTGAGAGAGGGCATCCCTGTCTTGTGCCAGTTTTCAAAGGGAATGCTTCCAGTTTTTGCCCATTCAGTATGATATTGGCTGTGGGTTTGTCATAGATAGCTCTTATTATTTTGAAATACGTCCCATCAATACCTAATGTATTGAGAGTTTTTAGCATGAAGGGTTGTTGAATTTTGTCAAAGGCTTTTTCTGCATCTATTGAGATAATCATGTGGTTTTTGTCTTTGGCTCTGTTTATATGCTGGATTACATTTATTGATTTGCGTATATTGAACCAGCCTTGCATCCCAGGGATGAAGCCCACTTGATCATGGTGGATAAGCTTTTTGATGTGCTGCTGGATTCAGTTTGCCAGTATTTTATTGAGGATTTTTGCATCAATGTTCATCAAGGATATTGGTCTAAAATTCTCTTTTTTGGTTGTGTCTCTGCCCGGCTTTGGTATCAGAATGATGCTGGCCTCATAAAATGAGTTAGGGAGGATTCCCTTTTTTTCTATTGATTGGAATAGTTTCAGAAGGAATGGTACCAGTTCCTCCTTGTACCTCTGATAGAATTCAGCTGTGAATCCATCTGGTCCTGGACTCTTTTTGGTTGGTAAACTATTGATTATTGCCACAATTTCAGAGCCTGTTATTGGTCTATTCAGAGATTCAACTTCTTCCTGGTTTAGTCTTGGGAGAGTGTATGTGTCGAGGAATGTATCCATTTCTTCTAGATTTTCTAGTTTATTTGCGTAGAGGTGTTTGTAGTATTCTCTGATGGTAGTTTGTATTTCTGTGGGATCAGTGGTGATATCCCCTTTATCATTTTTTATTGTGTCTATTTGATTCTTCTCTCTTTTTTTCTTTATTAGTCTTGCTAGCGGTCTATCAATTTTGTCGATCCTTTCAAAAAACCAGCTCCTGGATTCATTGATTTTTTGAAGGGTTTTTTGTGTCTCTATTTCCTTCAGTTCTGCTCTGATTTTAGTTATTTCTTGCCTTCTGCTAGCTTTTGAATGTGTTTGCTCTTGCTTTTCTAGTTCTTTTAATTGTGATGTTAGGGTGTCAATTTTGGATCTTTCCTGCTTTCTCTTGTAGGCATTTAGTACTATAAATTTCCCTCTACACACTGCTTTGAATGCGTCCCAGAGATTCTGGTATGTGGTGTCTTTGTTCTCGTTGGTTTCAAAGAACATCTTTATTTCTGCCTTCATTTCGTTATGTACCCAGTAGTCATTCAGGAGCAGGTTGTTCAGTTTCCATGTAGTTGAGCGGCTTTGAGTGAGATTCTTAATCCTGAGTTCTAGTTTGATTGCACTGCGGTCTGAGAGATAGTTTGTTATAATTTCTGTTCTTTTACATTTGCTGAGGAGAGCTTTACTTCCAACTATGTGGTCAATTTTGGAATAGGTGTGGTGTGGTGCTGAAAAAAATGTATATTCTGTTGATTTGGGGTGGAGAGTTCTGTAGATGTCTATTAGGTCTGCTTGGTGCAGAGCTGAGTTCAATTCCTGGGTATCCTTGTTGACTTTCTGTCTCGTTGATCTGTCTAATGTTGACAGTGGGGTGTTAAAGTCTCCCATTATTAATGTGTGGGAGTCTAAGTCTCTTTGTAGGTCACTCAGGACTTGCTTTATGAATCTGGGTGCTCCTGTATTGGGTGCATAAATATTTAGGATAGTTAGCTCCTCTTGTTGAATTGATCCCTTTACCATTATGTAATGGCCTTCTTTGTCTCTTTTGATCTTTGTTGTTTTAAAGTCTGTTTTATCAGAGACTAGGATTGCAACCCCTGCCTTTTTTTGTTTTCCATTGGCTTGGTAGATCTTCCTCCATCCTTTTATTTTGAGCCTATGTGTGTCTCTGCACGTGAGATGGGTTTCCTGAATACAGCACACTGATGGGTCTTGACTGTTTATCCAACTTGCCAGTCTGTGTCTTTTAATTGCAGAATTTAGTCCATTTATATTTAAAGTTAATATTGTTATGTGTGAATTTGATCCTGTCATTATGATGTTAGCTGGTGATTTTGCTCATTAGTTGATGCAGTTTCTTCCTAGTCTCGATGGTCTTTACATTTTGGCATGATTTTGCAGCGGCTGGTACCGGTTGTTCCTTTCCATGTTTAGCGCTTCCTTCAGGAGCTCTTTTAGGGCAGGCCTGGTGGTGACAAAATCTCTCAGCATTTGCTTGTCTATAAAGTATTTTATTTCTCCTTCACTTATGAAGCTTAATTTGGCTGGATATGAAATTCTGGGTTGAAAATTCTTTTCTTTAAGAATGTTGAATATTGGCCCCCACTCTCTTCTGGCTTGTAGGGTTTCTGCCGAGAGATCCGCTGTTAGTCTGATGGGCTTTCCTTTGAGGGTAACCCGACCTTTCTCTCTGGCTGCCCTTAACATTTTTTCCTTCATTTCAACTTTGGTGAATCTGACAATTATGTGTCTTGGAGTTGCTCTTCTCGAGGAGTATCTTTGTGGTGTTCTCTGTATTTCCTGAATCTGAACGTTGGCCTGCCTTGCTAGATTGGGGAAGTTCTCCTGGATAATATCCTGCAGAGTGTTTTCCAACTTGGTTCCATTCTCCACATCACTTTCAGGTACACCAATCAGACGTAGATTTGGTCTTTTCACATAGTCCCATATTTCTTGTAGGCTTTGCTCATTTCTTTTTATTCTTTTTTCTCTAATCTTCCCTTCTCGCTTCATTTCATTCATTTCATCTTCCATTGCTGATACCCTTTCTTCCAGTTGATCGCATTGGCTCCTGAGGCTTCTGCATTCTTCACGTAGTTCTCGAGCCTTGGTTTTCAGCTCCATCAGCTCCTTTAAGCACTTCTCTGTATTGGTTATTCTAGTTATACATTCTTCTAAATTTTTTTCAAAGTTTTCAACTTCTTTGCCTTTGGTTTGAATGTCCTCCCGTAGCTCAGAGTAATTTGATCGTCTGAAGCCTTCTTCTCTCAGCTCGTCAAAATCATTCTCCATCCAGCTTTGTTCTGTTGCTGGTGAGGAACTGCGTTCCTTTGGAGGAGGAGAGGCGCTCTGCGTTTTAGAGTTTCCAGTTTTTCTGTTCTGTTTTTTCCCCATCTTTGTGCTTTTATCTACTTTTGGTCTTTGATGATGGTGATGTACAGATGGGTTTTCGGTGTAGATGTCCTTTCTGGTTGTTAGTTTTCCTTCTAACAGACAGAACCCTCAGCTGCAGGTCTGTTGGAATACCCTGCCGTGTGAGGTGTCAGTGTGCCCCTGCTGGGGGGTGCCTCCCAGTTAGGCTGCTCGGGGGTCAGGGGTCAGGGACCCACTTGAGGAGGCAGTCTGCCGGTTCTCACATCTCCAGCTGCGTGCTGGGAGAACCACTGCTCTCTTCAAAGCTGTCAGACAGGGACACTTAAGTCTGCAGAGGTTACTGCTGTCTTTTTGTTTGTCTGTGCCCTGCCCCCAGAGGTGGAGCCTACAGAGGCAGGCAGGCCTCCTTGAGCTGTGGTGGGCTCCACCCAGTTCGAGCTTCCTGGCTGCTTTGTTTACCTGAGCAAGCCTGGGCAATGGCGGGCGCCCCTCCCCCATCCTGGTTGCCGCCTTGCAGTTTGATCTCAGACTGCTGTGCTAGTGATCAGCGAGATTCCGTGGGCGTACGACCCTCTGAGCCAGGTGTGGGATATAGTCTCGTGGTGCGCCGTTTCTTAAGCCGGTCTGAAAAGCGCAATATTCGGGTGGGAGTGACCCGATTTTCCAGGTGCGTCCGTCACCCCTTTCTTTGACTCGGAAAGGGAACTCCCTGACCCCTTGCGCTTCCCAGGTGAGGCAATGCCTCGCCCTGCTTCGGCTCGCGCACGGTGCGCACACACACTGGCCTGCGCCCACTGTCTGGCACTCCCAAGTGAGATGAACCCGGTACCTCAGATGGAAATGCAGAAATCACCCGTCTTCTGCGTCGCTCAGGCTGGGAGCTGTAGACCGGAGCTGTTCCTATTCGGCCATCTTGGCTCCTCCCCCCCCAAAAACTTTAATGAATGGAGATGTCATATATTACATGTGAGTTTTTGTGTAATGCTGTTATATATATATATGTGTATATATATATATACACACATATATATATATATAGTCTGTCTCAATTTACAACATATACATATTCAGTATTCCCAGACACTCAGACACCAATGTCATGCCACCAGGGGTGAGTGTTTTAATTTGTGTGTTTGTAAATTATGGAGGTTGATGTAGTGTGGAGGATAACTTAGGCTTAGGAAGGAAAAATGATCCTTAGACTGAACTAACTGAGCAGAGACTGGAGCTGGGAGGGAGAGGTGTTCATGATAATATAATTCTGGGAATCTGCAGAAATCCAGGGGATGGCATGAACTTCCTGCAAGTCACTTGATGTGGACTTCAGCTTCTTACTGTGATTTTCAGGGCCGAAGTGACAGGCTGAATTTTTATAGGGATAGAGTCGTCTTTACATTCTTACTTTTGTAGGGATAAGAGTTGCCTAAGTATGTCTGCTGCTTTTTGTATTATATGCCCAAAGAGCCCCTTCCAGTCCTCTCTACGGCTAAGCTGCTCTCAATGGCTTCCTGATGCTGCTGCCCAGAAAGGAGCCTCAGAGGAGTTAATTTGCCAGCCAGGCTGGTTTGGCTTTTCTCAGCCTTTTCACAGACTCTGAATTATCACACTGTGTGTGCCTGTGTCCTTCTGACTTATCCTCAGGACGGAAAGTCTCCTTCTCCCACTGATTTGTCAGTAAAGATGGTAGTTAGAGATGATCTTTTTACGGCAGAGTAACATTTAGAAATGTTACATACTTAACGTCTGCACCCAGAATTGCTGGGAAGAAAATCTGAGCCACTAGATATTTTCTGCAGATGCTCCTTTACTTATGGTGGGGTCACTTTCTGATAAACCCATCCTAAGTGGAAAATACTGAAAATTGAGACACACTAGACAAGGCTATACTCTGGTTGGCAAACTTGGGCAAGTTATTTCACCTCTTAAAGCTTCTAACATTCAGCTGAAAGACATGGATAGCCAAGTCCACCTCATAAGGTCATTATAAGTTTTAAAAGGGAGAACGAAGGCAAAGCCCTCATCATACAGGGCTTGATGCTCAGCAATAGGGGAGGGATGTGGGCCCTGACACTGAGACAGTGGTGGCAGCTTCCAGATTCACCTGGGTGGTGCACTGGTTCAGGTGGAGCACCATACTGTTATGGACTGAATTGTGTCTTCCAAAATTCATATGCTTAAGCTCTAATCCAATGTGACTGGTGTCCTCATAAGAAAAGGAAATATGGGCAGACAGAAAGATACCAGAGACTTCCACACACAGAAAAAAAAAGGACGTGAAGACACAGGGAGAAGGTGGCCATCTGCAAGCGAAGGAGAGAGGTCTTAAGAGGATCCAAAGCTGCCAACGCCCTAATTTTAGAATTTTAGAATTCCAGCCTCCAGAACTGAGAAAATAAATTTCTGTTGTTTTTTTAAAAAGAGAAAATATTGTAAGTTGAATGTGTGTTTTTGACTTACAGTATTTTCAACTTATGATGGGTTTATTTGGACACAGCACCATTGTATGACATAGCTCCATATACCTGTACATTGAGGAGCATACTGAAAATATACCTGTTCCACACCACGATAAAGCTGAATAATTGCTATCCACTTGGAGTCATCTCTTGGTCTTTATCTCATGTTTATTCTTTTTTTTGGTTTGTTTTTGGTTATAATGCAATTCTTAAATGTCACAAAGCACAAGCCAAATAAATATGTCACCTGACTTTTTTGCTATTATTATTATACTTAAATATTTTTTCCTGCTTTATAGCAGAATATTTTGTCTTGAAATGAAATGAGAAAGGATGGAATTGATTAGATAAATGACCAGATGTATGTTAGCTTACATAAAAAATCTGTTTGGCAACAGGGAGCTTTTTTGCCTTTAAACTAAATAATGAAATTATAGAACAAATATTTGTGAAAGCGAAATGAGGGTTGTGGGTGGGAAGTTAGGTGAAAAGAAAATGGGGAGAATTGTGTAGAAATGTTGCTGGTAACAGGATTAGGAGAGATCCCTTGGGCTGGAATCCCTGCTCTTCCACTTTCTAGCTGGTAACCTTAAATAAGTTAAACTCCCTACTTATTAAACTCATGTAAAATGGAGTTCATAATAGTTCCTACCTCATAGGTATAAGATAATTCAAGTAAAAGTCCTAGAATAGTCCTGGATACCTAATGAGTGCTTGGTTAGCTATTTATTATTATTATGATTATTATAACATTATCATTTACAAGAAAAATCAGTCTACTGAAAAAAATCAATCTCATTATTTCATTGGTTTTGTCTTGTTTTTGACTCAGTGACACTTTTTTATTTGATTATTTATGATAGTCAATACATTTGCTTTCATATGATTTTTGGCTCTGTTCAAATGCAAATTCATATTTAAAAGCATAAACATTTGATACAAGTATGGATATGCCAAGAATGTTCCATTGAACTTGCAGACACCACCAAAAAATAGAACCTCTTTAATAATTTCAGCATGATTAGAAAGAATGCAGTCTACCCAAGCGGGACTACTGTGAAGGAGATAACATTCATTTGAAAAGGTAGGTTCTGTTTGTTTGTTTGTTCATAACAAATTCATTCATAATACTGTAATAGAAAAATGGCTCCCCAAAGATGTTCACATCTTAATTCCCAGAACCCGTGAACTGTTAAATTACATGGCAAGGAGGAATTAAAGTTGCTAATCAGCTGACTTTGAGACGGGTAGATTATCCTGGATTATCTAGGTGGGCTTAACGTAATCGTAGGCTCCTTATAGGTTAAAGATGGAAGGAGAGTCAGTGTCAGAGTGGTGCAGTGTGTGAAGTTTATCCACCCATTGCTGGCTTTAAAGATGAGAGGGGGCCGGGAGCTAAATTTGTGGGCAGCCTCCAGAAGCTAGAAAGGTAAGGAAACAGATTTTCCTCTAGAAAGAACCTCTAGAGCCTCTAGAAAGAACACAGCCCTGCTGCCACCTTGACTTTAGCTCAATGAGATCCATTTCAGACTTCTGATTTCTAGAACTGTTAAATAATGAATCTGTGTTGTTTTAAGCCACCACGTTTTTGGTAATTTGTTATAGCAGCAACAGGAAACTAATACAATGTCTTACTTTGTCATGTTTCATACCATGGGTTAAGTTTAAAAGTATAGTTTTTTTATTTGTGTTTTATTATTTTAGGATACGTGGAAGTGGGATAAAGATCACTTTCAGAAAGGAGTACATCAAAAAAATTCCCATCCAAGGTGTCAATGTCACTAAAGGAATATTCTCTGCTATTTAAGTGAGAATTCTTCCACTTCTTTCCATTTCATCAGGCAGAGATTATTATACATTTTGAAGCACATGTTGGAGCTTGGAAGAAGAATGAAGGATAAATAAGGGTCTTGTGCTATGGACAAAGCAAATCATGGAAGAGAATCTTACCTTGGGCAGAATGGTTGTGTTTGTGGAAAGTTTGAAGAGATTAAACTGATGAAGCTTCTATTTATAGAACTATTCTGATTGTTTCTGTTTTCCCCAGGCTACTGGAGGTAAATACATATGCTATTCATTGACGAATATGTTTTATTTTTCTGTCAAAATATATGTGATAGAGTATCTGCAAATTTTGCATATATTAAAGCTACAAAGAGAACAAAGGGACAACTTAAAAAGATGATAGTGTGTAAGTTGGCATGGGCTGAGGAAGTTTATGTGCTAAAATGATTATTTGGCAGCATAATTTTGTGAAAGGGGGCATGACGTATATAGGACTTGCAAGACGAAGCTCAAAACTGAAAGGAGCATATTCTTGAAATGGATCACAGGGAAGGATTCAAACAAGAGAATCTCAATAGAACTATTACAGCCAAAAGAGGCAAAGAAAATGAAGAGGCTAGCTGAGCTAATGCTAACTGAAGGAATTAAAATGAATAAGCATGCTCATTTATAATTTTATCATGGAAAAATAAATACAAGTGGGAGAATGGCCCGTCAATAAATGAGGAGGGAGGAGAAATCAATGTTAGTTGTAAAATGTCTGAGCTATTGAACTGCTGTTTTCAAGTCAGTCTTTATAAAGAAATAGGGGTCTGGATAATTAGGAAGTAATTAAGGACCAACCGACTTTCAGGCACTATTGATGATAAATAAGTAAATAATTACCACTTGCATTAA
This sequence comes from Homo sapiens, assembly GCF_000001405.40. Lineage (NCBI taxonomy): Eukaryota > Metazoa > Chordata > Mammalia > Primates > Hominidae > Homo > Homo sapiens. The sequence continues at coordinate 158,015,465 of NC_000003.12, read as the reverse complement.
CAAAATGTGTGCATATGTGGAAGAAATGCATTCTATAGAAATTTCCACGTTTTGATGGTAATTATTGTACTACTTGTTTAATTAGCCAATGAGTGGGGGAAAAATAACCCACCTCCAAACATGCACAATTAAATAGATGCAATGATTTGGCCAGAGGAAAAAGACCAAGGTATGAGCTTTTCAGGCTGAAATTAAAATAATCTGCTATCAGCTTATCTAAACAAATTAACTAACAAAACACACACAGCAAACAATGCTATAGTAAAATAATTTAGTCTGGAATTGCCAGGTGTGGGATTAGGAACTGTACAATGCAAAGTATCTTTCTTAGTTGTCCAGTGAGCCTGGACCACCCAAAAGACTGATTTTACAATTTTTAAAAGTGCCACGTAACTGGGAGATTTACATCTCTCAGAACTAAAGTTTTATGGAAAATTGTAAACTTTCCAGTTTGTGCTACATAATGTGGACCTAGGTATGAGCTGGGTATATAGTCTGAATTGGATAAACATGTGTCCTACACTTTTTAAACATGGATGAATTGATGCAAGAATGGAGTTCTTTTTTTTGTAATTCAGAGGTAGTACAGAGTGGTAAAGAACAAAAGATTTTTAGTCAGACAGACCTAGTTTAGAATCTTGCCTCAAACTCATGCAATGAGCACATGGGCAAATGCTTTAACCTTTTTGAGGGATGGTAATTATATTTACTACATATAGTTGTATGAAGATAAAGTGAAATCGTAGATATACAGTTCTTGGCACAAAGTAGATAATAAATAAAACTTATTATCATAATAATATGGTAGAGTTAAGTATAACATGTGATATAAATGCTTGCTCAAAAGCTAGAGAATCCAGAATCTATTTTTGTTTTAATTTTGAATGACATAGAACTTGTGAGATTGGTACTTGATAAATGGTAGCTATTAATGGTATTTATTATTTAGCCCTGTTACCTTAGAAAAATTATAGTCTCATTTGACCTCATTTTCCACCTACATTAGGATTAACCTATTTTTTTGGCAGCATTTTTGTATTCTGAGCATTATTGGAGCACGTGGTTCCTGAAGGAATTTGAGTTTACTTGGAGAGGTAAAACTAATATATAGGAAACAACTGGAGATAAAAGTGGGTCTAATTTACCACAAGTACTCCAGGAGTTCAGAGAGCAGAGAGGGTAGGGCATTGTAGTAACAGAAGGTATGGCAAGGACAAAGTGGAGTTTACTCTGTGCCTTGAGGATTATTTAAGATTTGTACGGATGAGGAGATGATGATGAAGAGGCTGGAATGGTTTTTGGGTGGGAAACCAGCCTAAGCTGGTGTGGAAGTAGAAATGAATGCATCTAGTGATTACATCTCTGAAACATGGGGCATGTGATCTGGTATAAGATATGAGGATTGCATCAGAATATTTGAAATTGGGCTATTGGTCCACATATGAAGAGAGGTTAATAGATGTTGACTAGAAGGGAGTGTTAAAGTTGGATAAATAACTGGAGAACAAAGCAGAAAGCTGCTATTACTTGCAATAACTGCCTTTCTATGGGTGTTGTGGCTTTAGATGAAATGAGATATTTGAATCCCTAAAGCAGTTTTCTTTTTGTGGGAGCTCTACGACCATCCATAGAAATTTCACTTTTCTTGTCTGAGTCCTCCACTAGTCTATGAGTCTCTTAAGGTAGGAACCAGGTTTTGTTTATTTCCATATATGAGCACTTAACACAGTACCTGTCACATAATAACAAATGTGAAATATTTGTGGCATGAATGAAAGTTTCTGTATAGTTATAAACATGAAATAACGTTTTATTTTCTTGTGCTCTGTCGCAGAGGCTGGAGTGCACTGGCAAAATGTTGGCTCACTGCAACCTCTGCCTCTGGGGTTTAAGCAATTCTCCTGCCTCAGCCTCCCAAGTAGCTGGGACTACAGGTGCATGCCACCATGCCCGGCTTATTTTTTGTATTTTTAGTAGAGATGGGATTTCACCATGTTGGCCAGGTTGGTCTCGAACTCCTGACCTCAAACAATCTGCCTGCCTCAGCCTCCCAAACGGTTGGGATTACAGGCGTGAGCCACTGTGCCTGGCCAAAATAGCATTTAATATTTGTGTTTTATTACATTTACTTTAGTTTTACATTTTATCCACTTCTAAAAGTTCTTATAGTGGCTTGCACATTGAAATAGAATACCTGCTTTAAGAAACAGGTCATATTTCAGAAAGATAAAATTCCCCTCCTTTTAGGCACCAAGGCCAAACAGATTATAATATTCAGGGAAGACAATTTGGATTTGGTTTCTGGCAGCTGTAACATAAAGAGAATCATATGTGCTTTCCTTTTTTGATATGCAGTCTACAACATTTAAGTACAGAGAAAGAGTTTTCTCTGGAAACAAACTTGAGGAGGAAGTGATCACCTGGGACCTTGCAATATTTCAATTGAACTTTCATATATAGGGAAGGATGTTCAATTAGATGTGAGTGAGCATAAAATAGGCTCTAGAGAGAATTTGGCACTGAGACCAACCCCATTTCTTCTGGCTTTCCAGATGGTTCAGGGATGAAATTTACCTCATTGTTGTTGTTGTTGTTGTTCTTAAATTTTGGAAGTGCTGTACATCTGGAAAAAATAACCAGGAATTCAATTGTTTAAAAAGTAAAGATACTTAGGTACAGATAAAGAATGGGGCTCACTTAAATGATTTTGCTTTGAAACATGGTAACATGGTAAATAACCTAGAGAATAGCATTAAACACTTTGCAGAACCATGGGTTATAAATCTGTAACAACACTTTGATTAATTTGGAATCTTCATGAGCAGAGATGAAGAAAATAGTCCTTGAATTGATTTCCACATTATGCTGATTTTGTGATCATCTGTGTACCAAGAGACCACCCAATTTATCTCTGTTGTAACTAACACCAGATTTTTGTCCTGGGTTTGAAATCTCTGGCTATGACATGCAACATATTTAAAAAATCTGTTTGATTGATAGTTTAATCATTGTTCCCCATTACATCAGCAGCCAGGCCTACTATTCCAAATTTGAAGGATTGTTGTGCCTCTGTCCCTGTGTCACATAAAGTACTTGTGGCTTGCCAATGGTAGATCTGATTGCAGCTTTATAGAATTCAGACATAGTTGAAAGTTTAAATGTTATGTTTATGTTTTAGATAGCACATGATTTCTATTCCTCCTGTTATAAAATAAAATCAACTTTCCAGTTGTTTTCATCATGTGCTCTTGTGTCTTCTTTCTTCCATATTTATATGAGTATAAAAATTTTATACTTTTGAAAAACTATTGGGAAAATCCAGTTGCCACTTGCTCTTTTGGAACCTAAGTAGGCAAACATATAACCAAGTTTTCATATGGTGCAGTTGTAAGTTCTTCCTGTTGGTCAGTGTCATTATTCTGGGGTTTCTATGTGATTTAACAGTCAGGTAAATCAGCATGGCTTTAGAGGCTGAAAGAAATTCAACCAGTCCTAAAAAAATGCCTATATCTAAGTATAACATTTAATTGAACTTGGCATTGTCATTCATCTGCTGATGGTATACTCTGCTGCCCAGACAAAATTAAGTAGGTAAAATCTGTCTGCAGGGATTCTGCTTCATAGGCATTCTCTATGATTTTTCTACTCGTTTTATGACATTTTTAGGTTTTCATATGGTTAGCTTTGTGTCCCCACCCAAATCTCATCTTGAATTGTAATCCCCAGAATCCCCATGTGTCAAGGGAGAGACCAGGTGGATGTAATTGAATCATGTCGACGGTTTCCCCCATGCTGTTCTTGTGATAGTGAGTTCTCACGAGATCTGACAGTTTTATAAGGGGCTCTCGACCACTTTGCTCAGCACTTCTCCTTCTTCCTGCCTTGTCAAGAAGGTGCCTTGTGTCCTCTTTGTCTTCTGCCATGATTGTCAGTTTCCTGAGGCCTCTCCAGCAATGCTGAACTGTGAGTCAATTAAACCTCTTTCCTCTATGAATCACCTAGTTTCAGGCAGGTCTTTATAGCAGCATGAAAAAGACTAATATAGTAAAATGGTACCACAAAGAGTGGGGTGCTGCTATAAAGATACCCGAAAATGTGGAAGTGACTTTGGAACTGGGTAACAGGCAGAGGTTGGAACAGTTTGGAGGGGTCAGAAGAAAACAGGAAGATGTGGGAAAGTTTGGAGCATCCTAGAGACTTGCTGAATGGTTTTGACCAAAATGCTGATAGCGATATGGACAATGAAATCCAGGCTGAGGTGGTCTCAGATGGAGATGAGGAACTTGTTGGGAAGTGGAGCAAAGGTGACTCTTGCTATGCTTTAACAAAGAGACTGGTGGCATTTTGCCCCTGCCTTAGAGATCTGTGGAACTTTGAACTTGAGAGAGATGATTTAGGGTATCCAGTGGGAGAAATTTCTAAGCAGCATAGTGTTCAAGATGTAACTTGGGTGCTCTTAAAAGCATTCAGTTTTATGTATTCACAAACAGTTGATCTGGAATTGGAACTTATGTTTAAAAGGGAAGCAGAACAGAAAAACTTAGAATATTTGCAGCCTGACAATGTGACAGAAAAGAAAAACCCATTTTCTGAGAAATTCAAGCCTGCTGCAGAAATTTGCATAAGTAACAAGGAGCCAAATGTTAATCACCAAGACAATGAGGAAAATGTTTCCAGGGTGTGTCAGAGATCTTCACAGCAGTCCCTCTCAGAGGCCTAGGAGAAAAAAACGGTTTTTTGGGCTGGGCCCAGAGTCCAACTGCTCCATTCAAGAGCAGTCTCAGGACTTGGTGCCCTGCATCCTAGCCATTCCAAAAAGGAGCCATGGTACAGCTAGGGCCATTGCTTCGGAGGGTGCAAACCCCAAGCCTTGGCAGCTTACATGTGGTATTGGGCTTGTGGGGTACACAGACATCAAGAAGAGAGCTTTAGGAACCCCTGTCTAGATTTCAGAGGATGTATGGAAATGCCCAGATGTCCAGGCAGAAGTTTGCTGCAGTGGTGGAGCCATCATGGAGAACCTCTGCTAAAGCAGTGGAGAAGGGAAATGTGGGGTGGGAGCCCCCACACAGAGTCCCCACTGGGACACTGCCTAGTGGAGCTGTGAGAAGAGGACCACCATGCTCCAGACCGCAGAGTGGTACATCCACTGACAGCTTGAGCTGTGCACCTGGAAAAGCCACAGACACTCAAATCCAGCTCGTGAAAGCAGCCAGGAGGAGGGCTGTACTGTACCCTACAAAGCCACAGAGGCAGAGCTGCCCAAGGCCATGGGAACCCACCTTTTGCATCAGTGTAATCTGGATGTGAGACATGGAGTCAAAGGAGATCATTTTGGAGCTTTAAGATTCGACTGCCTGGCTGGATTTCAGACTTGCATGGGGCCTGTAGCTCATTTATTTTGGCCAGTATCTTCCATTTGTAATGGGTGTATTTACCCAATACCTGTGCCCCTATTGTATCTAGGAAGTAACTAACTTGCTTTTGATTTTGTAGGCTCATAGGTGGAAGAGACTTGCCTTGTCTCAGATGAGACTTTGGATTTGGACTTCTGGGTTAGTGCTAGAATTAATTTGAATTAAGACTTTGGGGGAGTGTTGGGAAGGCATGATTTGTTTTGAAATGTGAAAGGGACATGAGATTTGGGAAGGGCCAGGGCAGAATGATATGGTTAGGCTTTGTGTCCCCACCCAAATCTCATCTTGAAATATAATCCCCACATGTCAAGGGAGAGACAAGGTGAGGTAATTGAATCATAGAGGCAGTTTATTCCATGCTGTTCTCATGAAAGTGAGTGAGTTCTCACAAGATCGGATGCTTTTATAAGGGGCTCTTCCCCCCTTCGCTGAGTACTTCTCCTTCCTGCTATCTTGTGAAGAAGGTGCTTTGCTTCCCCTTCACCTTCTGCCATGATTATAAATTTCCTGAGGCTTCCTTAGTCATGCTGAACTGTGTGTAATTAAACCTCTTTCCTTTATAAATTACTCAGCCTTGGGTATGCCTTTATTAGCAGCATGAGAACAAACTAATACAACTTTTTAATTTTATTGAGACTTGATTTATGTCCCAGAGATTATGGGCTCATTTTGTAAATGATTTGTGTGAACTTGAAAGTAATTCTGTTGGTGTTGGTCTGTAATTTTCAATTATGTCAATTAGTGGATAGTCTGTAATTTTCAATTATGTCAATTGGTTGATAGTCTGTGTCAAGCCTTTAATGTCCTTACTAATTTTCTGTCCATGTATTCTATCAGTTATTGAGCGAGAAGGTTGAAATCTCTGCCTATGTGGATTGTGATTTGTCTAGTTCTCCTTGTGGTTTTATCAGTTTTTGTTTCATACATTTTGGAGTTTGTCATTAGGTGCATACACATTTATAAGTGTTATGTCCACTTACTGAATTGACCCTCTTATCAGTAGAAAATGACCCTGCTTATTACTGTTAGTATTTGCCCTAAAAAGCAAGAATATTTACTATGCCTGGTATTAATATAGCCACTTCAATTTTCTTTTAATCAATGTTAGCACACTATATCCCCAATTCTTTTAGTTTTAACCTGTTTGTGACTTTATATTTGACTCCTGATTTTTAAACCAGTCTGACAATTGCTGCCTCTTAATTGGAGCATTTAGGCCGTTTATGTTTAGTGTGATTATTACTCTAGCTGGCTTTAAACTTACCACCTTGTCTTTTTTCTATTTCCTCATCTTTTCTTTCTTCTCCTTTATTGTCTTTATTTACCTCCATTTGGATTGAATATTATAACTCCATTTTATTTCCTTTGTTATTCTTTTAGCTATAACTCTTTGTTAATTTAGTGATTGATTTAGGGTTTATAGAGATAAATTAGAGATGCCACACCTCTCATAATGAATGTCAGACCTTACTTATAGTATAAAAACCTTATAACAGTATACTTCCACTTCTTCATTCCTAGACTTTGTGCTATTTATGTCTTACATTTTATTTCTACATACATTATAAACCTAATAATACATCAGTTTCATTTTTTGCTTTAAGCAGTCAATTATCTTTAAAGAAGCTTAGAAATAAGAAAAAGTTCTTTTATGTTAACCTCTATATGTCTGGTGCTCTCTTTCCTTTGTGTAGATCTATATTTCCATCTGGTACAATTATCCTGGTATAAGTTTTGTATGTCTGAAAAAATCTTTATTTGTTTTTTAAGAGTTATTTTTACTGTGTATAGAATTCTAGACCGATATTTAAAAAGTACATTGAAGATATTATTACTTTCATTGTCTTTGGCTTGTGTTGCTTCCAACACGAAATTTGCTGTCTTCCTTATCTTTGTTCGTGTGTACATGTTTTTTCTTTTTCTGACTGCTTTATAATGTTTATTCTTTAACAGTGATTTAAAGTAATTTAATTATAATGTGCCTTAGTATAATCACTTTCAATTTTCTTGTGCTTATGGTTTGTTGAGCTGCTTTCGAATTACAGATGGTTCCTGACTTAACAATGGTTTGACTTGTAATTTTTTTACTTTACAATGGGTTTGTCCAGGTATTAAGTGGATTTTCAACTTAGAATATTTTTGGCTTATGATGGGTTTACCATGACATAATCCCATTGTAAATTGAGGAGCATCTGTATTTGGAAGGTTTATGGATTTCATGAGATTTGAAAAAATTTTGGTCATTACTTTTTTAGATATTTTTCTGTCTCACTCTCTTTCTTGTTTTTGGTGACTTCAACTGCATGTGTATTGGCCACTTAAAGTTGCACTGCAGCTCAGTGAGGTTCTGTTCTTTTTTATTTTTATGTTTTGCAGCCTTGATTTTCTGTCTGAATTTTATATTGCAAAGTTTCTACTACTGTGCCTTCAAGTTCACTAATCTTTTTTTCTGCAATGTCTAATATACTATTAATCCATTCCAGCATTTTTCTTTTCAGACCTTGTAGTGTTGATCTCTAGAATTTTGACTTGGGCCTTTAAAAATCTTCCACATTTCACTTTAGTATGTTCAGTCTTTCTTCTAGCTTCTTGAACGGAGGTACTATAGTGATAACAACTTTTAATATATTTGCCTACTAATTGTATCATCTGTGTCATTTCTGGTCAGTTTCAATTGTTTGATTCTTTTTTTCTGGTCATAGTTGTTCTCTGAGCAATGCTACTGCTCTACTGACCAGATCAGACTCTGGCTCGGATGTCAGTTCACCCTGCCCCGTGGGACTCAGTGATTTGGAACTGATCATCTGTTTTGGGGCAAGCCCTGCAGCTAGGTGGTCCTTCCAACCAGGTCCCTCACAATCCTGGCTTGTTTCCTTTTCCTCGGCTTGGTGACTCCTTTTCTGAATCCAGGTTGCCTGGTGACCAAGGCTGCACTGGTTATGTCCATCAGTGAAAAGTAATTTTTTTTTCCTTTGGCAAACTAATCCCATTTATTTATTTTTCATAAATAAAATATTATTTTTCCAGATTATAAATATACTATGTCCTCATAGAGACAACTTGAAAATGTTAGAAATACATTAACTTAAGCTTCCCATACCTCCAGCTACTACTAATTTTTTTGTACTTCTCTCTGTTTTACATAGTTTATCTTATAGTGTACATACATTTTAAATTCTATTTTCAGTTTTTTCCTGTATCACTAAAAACTTTTAAGGATTAATGCTATTTCATCATATAGGCATGACATAATTATGTAACTATTTACCTATAATAGGACATTTTTAGCGTGTTTCCATTTTTTTGCTATTGTGTCATTCTGCATAATTTCTTCCTGAATTTGGGATTTATTTTTTAGGATAGATTCCCAGAAATGGAATGAACATTTTCAGGCACTTACAACATAAGGCCAGATTGCTGTCCAAAATGGTTGTAACGATGTATATTTAAACTGAATCAGCATTTGATACAACTTCAGCAGGTAAATGTTTTAAAACTTTACAGTTTGTTTGCTAAATCAAAATAAGATAATATTTAATAAATTTGATATTTACCTTGAATTAAACAGTCAGTTGAGAATATTTTCTACGTAGCTGTCTAATCATAGTAGAAAGCTTTTCTTGTATCTTCAAATAAGTTTAAAAATTTACTTACATCCATTTTATTTCTACAACCAAGTGCATTCTTTTCCTTTCATCCTGAGTCTTACATTAGCATTCATTTGACAAATCACAATGCAGAATGAACGTTATATCTTTCTTAATTTAAGTAAGAGGTTCCCTCCTTGTTAATGCCAACAATTCTTTTGGGATCTGCTCAAGCCTGGTATAAGTCCTTTAATTTATTATCACATTTGTTTTGCTTATTTAGGATTTATATCTTGTCTACTTCTAAACAGGATTTGAGGCAACTTGTATATAATATGATAAAAACAGTAAGATAAGAATACAGAGAATACAGAAAGAAAAAATCTTAATGGCAACCTAAGTTAATTATCACATCTGAGCATTGATTTTTAAATCAGAGTTTTGTGAGGTCTTTTAAAATGCATTAGTTTTTCTTGCCCTTGGGCTCTGCAGGCAGCTTGTAAGAACCGAGTGGGATGAGACAGCACCTCAGAGGCTGGGGAGGTTCCTGGCACCCCGATATCAACCTCAGATGCCCTCTAGGGATGCTGGGATCTCACTTTCTCACGGAAAGCACTCATCTATCATATTCATATTCCCCCCGGAAACACTTTAGAGGGCACCCTTGCCTTAGAGGATGACTTTCCACGAGCTATTGTGGCAGTCCGTGGGCAGCATTTCACAGACCACTGGTCTCTGTGGTGGGATGGACAATTTGTCTTTGACTTCAACAAGGGTCCTTTGCACAGCAGGAAGTGGAAGACCGCGACCCTGCTGTTGTGCTAAGAAGTCATTATCGCCAGACAGAGCAGAAGTATGGACTGCAGATAATGGACCTCTCAGGCTGTCCAGAAATCATTACATGACTGAGGAAAAGGCAGTAACTGTTTTAAATCCCATTAGTGGGGCTGATGGGCTGTCTGGGACAGGATGCCTGTACCCAAACTAGTAGCTTAGAATAACTTCTCCTTATTAACCCTCTAATGCGAGGAACTGTCATTTCCCAGGCTGTCCTTTTAAAGAGGAGAAGGAAATCATGTTAGGTGCCTCATACATTATCTCATTTAATTCTAACAACCATATTCTGAAGTTGATATTAACTCCTTTATGCAGGTGAAGAGCCTGAGCTCTGCTCAAGGTCACATATCAGGTGCCAAGTAAGTTACAGAGCCAAGACTTGAACCCATACTGTCTGACTCTAAAGCCTATATTCCTTTCATATACCAGCTGACTCCGTAATACTGTGTATATGTGGTTGAGGAGGCATTGGAATACTATAGCTCATGAATGACCTTCATAGAGGGTGACACTAATGACTTGAGACCTGGCGCTCAGCCCTGAAACTTATACATTTTTGTCAACTTGAATTACCCACATTTGTCTGTACATACTCCATTTTTTTCTTAATTAAGAAATTTTATTTATTTATTTATTTATTTATTTTATTATACTTTAAGTTCTGGGATACATGTGCAGAACGTGCAGGTTTGCTAAATAGGTATACACATGCCATGGTGGTTTGTTGCACCCATCAACCTGTCATCTACATTAGGTATTTCTCCTAATGCTATCCCTCCCCTACCCGCCTACCCACTAACAGGCCCCGGTGTGTGATGTTCCCCTCCCTGTGTCCATGTGTTCTCATTGTTCAACTCCCACTTATGAGTGGGAACATATGGAGTTTGGTTTTCTGTTCCTGTGTTAGTTTGCTGAGAATGATGGTTTCCAGCTTCATCCATGTCCCTGCAAAGGACATGCACTCATCCTTTTTTATCACTGCATAGTATTCCATGGTGTATATGTGCCACATTTTCTTTATCTAGTCCTTCATTGATGGGCATTTGGGTTGGATCCAACCAAGTCTTTGCTATTGTGAACAGTGCTGCAATAAACATATGTGTGCATGTGTCTTTATAGTAGAATGATTTATAATCCTTTGGGTACATACCCAATAATGGGATTGCTGGGTCAAATATTTCTGGTTCTAGATTCTTGAGGAGTTGCCACACTGTCTTCCACAATGGGTGAATTAATTTACACTGCCACCAACATTGTAAAAGTGTTCCTATTTCTCCACATCCCCTCCAGCATCTGTTGTTTCCTAACTTTTTAATGATTGCCATTCTAACTGGCATGAGATGATATCTCATTGTGCTTTTGATTTGCATTTCTCTAATGATCAGTGATGATGAGCTTTTTTTCATGTGTCTGCTGGCTACATAGATGCCTTTTTTTTGAGAAGTGTCTGTTCATATCCTTCGCCTACTTTTTGATGTTTTTTTTCCTTGTATATTTGTTGAAGTTCTTTGTAGATTCTGGATATTAGTCCTTTGTCAGACAGATAGATTGCAAAAATTTTTTCCCATTCTGTAGGTTGCCTGTTTACTCTGATGATAGTTTCTTTTGCTGTGCAGAAGTTTAGTTTAATTAGATAACATTTGTCAATTTTGGCTTTGGTTGCCATTGCTTTTAGTGTTTCAGTCATGAAGTCGTTGCCCATGCCTGTACCCTGAATGGTATTGCCTAGGTTTTCTTCTAGGGTTTTTATGGTTTTAGGTCTAACATTTAAGTCTTTAATCCATCTTGAATTGATTTTTGTATAAGGTGTAAGGAAGGGATCCAGTTTCAGTTTTCTGCATATGGCTAGCCAATTTTCCCAACACCACTTATTAAATAGGGAATCCTTTCTCCATTGCTTGTTTTTGTCAGGTTTGTCAAAGATCAGATGGTTGTTGACGTGTGGTGCTATTTCTAAGGCCTCTGTTCTGTTCCATTGGGCTATATATCTGTTTTTGTACCAGTAGCACGCAGTTTTGGTTACTATAGACTTGTAGTATAGTTTGAGTCAGGTAGTGTGGTGCCTCCAGGTTTGTTCTTTTTGCTTAGGATTGTCTTGGCTATATGGACTCTTTTTTGGTTCCACGTGAAATTTAAAGTAGTTTTTATCTAATTCTGTGAAGAAATGCAAAGAAGGGCATTACATAATGGTAAAGGGAACAATGCATCAAGAAGAGCTAACTATTCTCTATATATATCCACCCAATATAGGAGTACCAAGAGTCATAAAGCAAGTTATTAGAGACATACAAAGAGACTTAGACCCCCCCCACAATAATAGTGGGAGACTTTAACATCCACCTGTCAATATTAGATAGATCAATGAGACAGAAAATTAACAAGGATATTCAGGACTTGAACTCAGCTCTGGAACAAGTGGACCTAATAGACATCTACAGAATTCTCCACCACAAATCAACAGAATACACATTCTTCTCAGCACCACATAGCACTTATTCTAAAATCGACCACATAATTGGAAGTAAAACACTCCTCAGCAAATGCAAAAGAACAGACATCATAATAAACAGTCTCTCAGACCATAGTGCAATCAAATTAGAACTCAGGATTAAGAAACTCACTCAAAACTGCACAACTGCATGGAAACTGAGCAACCTGCTCCTGAATGACTATGGGTAAATAACGAAATTAAGGCAGAAATAAATAAATTCTTTGAAACCAATGAGAACAAAGACACAACGTACCAGAATCTCTGGGACACAGCTCAAGCAGTGTTTAGAGGGAAATTTATAACACTAAATGCCCATAGGAGAAAGTGGGAAAGATTAAAATCGACACCCTAACATTACAATGAAAGGAAGTAGAGAAGCAAGAGCAAACAAATTCAAAAGCTAGCAGAAGACAAGAAATAACTAAGATCAGAGCAGAACTGAAGGAGATAGAGACACGAAAAGCACTTCAAAAAAAATCAAAGAATCCAGGAGCTGGTTTTTTTTGAAAAGATTAACAAAATAGATAGACTGATAGCCAGAGTAATAAAGAGGAAAAGAGAGAAGAATCAAATAGACATAATACAAAATGAAAAAGGGATATCACTACTGATCCCACAGAAATGCAAACTACCATCAGAGAATACTATAAACACCTCTATGCAAATAAACAGAAAATCTAGAAGAAATTGGTAAATTCCTGAACACATACACTCTCCCAAGACTAAACCAGGAAGAAGTCTAATCCCTGAATAGACCAATAACAGGTTCTGAAACTGAGGCAGTAATTAATAGCCCACCAACAAATAAAAGCCCAGGACCAGATGGATTCACAGCTGAATTCTACCCGAGGCACAAAGAGGAGCTGGTAACATTCCTTCTGAAACTATTCCAAACAATAGAAAAAGAGAGACTCCTCCCTAACTCATTTTATGAGGCCAGCATCATCCTAATACCAAAATCTGGCAGGGATACAATAAAAAAAGAAAATTATAGGCCAATATCCCTGATGAACATCAATGCAAAAATCCTCAATAAAATACTGGCAAACTGAATCCAGCAGCACGTCAAAAAGCTTATCCACCACGATCAAGTCGGCTTCATCAATGGGATGCAAGGCTGGTTCAACATACGTAAATCAATAAATGTAATCCATCACATAAACAGAACCAGTGACAAAAACCACATGATTATCTCAATAGATGCAGAAAAGGCCTTTGATAAAATTCAACACCCCTTCATGCTAAAAACACTCAATAAACTAGGTATTGATGGAACGTATTTCAAAATAATAAGAGCTATTTATGTCAAACTCATAGCCAATATCATACTGAATGGGCAAAAGCTGGAAGCATTTCCTTTGAAAACTGGCACAAGACAAGGATGCCCTCTCTCACCACTCCTATTCAACATAGCGTTGGAAGTTCTGGCCAGGGCAATCAGGAAAGAGAAAGAAATAAAGAGTATTCAAATAGGAAGAGAGGAAGTCAAATTGTCTCTGTTTGCAGATGATATGATTGCATATTTAGAAAACCCTATTGTCTCAGCCCAAAATCTCCTTAAGGTGACAAGCAACTTCAGCAAAGTCTCAGGATACAAAATCAATGTGCAAAAATCACAAGCATTCCTATACACCAATAACAGGCAAACAGAGAGCCAAATCATGAGTGAACTCCCATTCACAATTGCTACAAAGAGAATAAAATACCTAAGAATCCAACTTACAAGGGATGTGAAGGACCTCTTCAAGGAGAACTACAAGCCACTGCTTAGCAAAATAAGAGAGGACACAAACAAATGGAAAAACGTTCCATGCTCATGGATAGGAAGAATCAATGCTGTGAAAATGGCCATAGTGCCCAAAGTAATTTATAGATTCAATGCTATCCTGTTCAAACATACTCCATTTTTAGAAGTTATCAATACTTATGCCATTTTTCAATTCTCTTTCATTTTCTAGAAAAAGGTTTTTTTCCTTTTTGTTCCATGATCCGAATTGACAAAACTCAGATATAATTAGTATTGTAAGCTGATTGCCCAAATATCCTTAGAAACAGGGACGGGGAGGAGCACCATACATTTACTTTCCTTTAGTTCCACTCCATAATATTAATTTTTCTAAGTCTCCTCTGATTTTTCTTAAGTCTAAGGGTTTTGGTGTTAAAAAGTGAGTAACTCTAATTGTGACTTTAACTTTTATTTTAAGTTCAGGTGTGCATGCGCACGTTTGTTATACAGGTACACCTGTGTCATGAGGGTTTGTTGTACACATTTATTTCATCACCCAGGTATCAAGCCTAGTACCTTAGTTATTTTCCTGACCCTTTCCCTCCTCCCACCTTACACCCTCCGGTAGGCCCCAATGTGTGTTTTTCCCCCTCTATGTGTCCATGTGTTCCCATCATTTATCTCCCACTTACAAGTGAGCACATGCAGTATTTGGTTTTCTCTTCCTGCATTATTTTGCTAAGGACAATGGACTACAGCTCCATTCCTGTTCCTGCAAAAGACATGATCTCATTCTTTTTTTATGGCTGCATAGTGTTCCATGGTGTAAATGCACCATCTTTTCTTTATTCAGTCTATCACTGATGGGCATTTAGGTTGATTCCAGGTCTTTGCTGTTGTGAATAGAGCTGCGATGAACCTACCTGTGCATAATGTCTTTATGGTAGAATGGTTTATATCCCTTTGTGTATATACCCAGTAATGGGGGTGTTGAGTTCAAATAGCAGTTATGTTTTTAGGTCTTTGAGGAATTGTCACACTGTTTTCCACAATGATTGAACCAATTTACAACCCCCACCGCCCCCAACAGTGTATAAGCGTTCCTTTTTCCTTACAATCTTGACAGCACCTGTTATTTTTTGACTTTTTAGTAATAGCCATTCTGACTGGTGTGGGATGGTATCTCATTGTGGTTTTGATTTGCATTTCTCTAGTGATCAGTGATGTTGGCCTTTTTTTCATATGTTTGTTAGTTGAATGTACGTCTTCTTTTGAAAAGTGTCTGTTCATGTCCTTTGCCGACTTTTTAATGAGGTTGTTAGTTTTTTTTCTTGAAAGTTTGTTTAAGTTCCTTATAGATGCTGGATATTAGGCCTTTGCCACATGTATAGTTTGCAAATGGTATAGCCTAGGTTGTCTTTCAGGGTTTTTATAGTGTTGGGTTTTATCTTTGTCTTTGATCCATCTTGAGTTCATTTTTGTTTATGGTATAAAGAAGGGGTCCAGTTGCAATCTTCTGCATATGGCTATCCAGTTATCCCAGCACCATTTAATGAATAGGGAGGACTTTCCCCATTGCTTGTTTTTGTCAGCTTTGTCAAAGATCAGATGGTTTTAGGTGTGCAGCCTTATTTCTAAGCTCTCTATTCTATTCCATTGGTCTATGTGTCTATTTTTTTTGTTTCAGTACCATGATGTTTTGGTTACTGTAGCCTGTAGCCCTGTTGTATAGTTTGAAGTTGGGTAGCATGATGCCTCCAAATTGTGGCTTTTAGGGAATAATTTTTATTTGTTTAAATTCCATAGATTTTTATTAAGCAGGTTTGCAAACATTTTTTAAAGATAGATATGATTACAAGATGAGTATTATGATGACGTCTTCTAATAACGGTGCTTTACAGGGTTACATGACAATTAAAGTATCATAATTATAGAGTATAGCATGAGAATGGCTAGAGGCACGAGAATCACTAGAACCTGGGAGGTGGAGGTTGCAGTGAGTCGAGATCACGCTACTGCACTTGAGCCTGGGCACAGAGCCAGATTCTGTCTCACAATAAAAAGGAAATGGATGAGAATGAAGTGAATATACTAGTCAAAGTGTTAGCATTGAACAGGAAGAGAGATGTCCATTCTTTTGAGGAGGAAGAGAAGAAAATGAGACCGAGTAAAGGTACAGAGACATTTTAAAGTGTCCTGCAGGAAAGATATTGGGTCTCAAGTTTGTTGATCCTGGTTTTAGAGAAATCTACTGGAATGTGAGGGGATTGTCCAAGATTTAACTAATTTTTATGGTGTATAATAAGCAAGGGGATCAACAAGTGCTGAGGAGGACAACTAATCATAAATGAGCCTTAGCTGATTTTAGAGGGACAGACAGGTGTGTCATGGGTGGGGCTGGGACTTAGCAGGTTAGGGATGGGAAACTAGGTTGCCACCAGTGTCTCCTGCTCCATAAATATTGATTTTATTTCTAGCCGAGAGAAAAACACATAAATGTTAGTATGGTATAAAAAATCATAAAACGTAAAGTCCAATAGAAATGGCATTTGAGTTCCATATGCCTGTGTTCTGTAAGTGCAAGTGACTGAAAATGGACTGTAATATACGTCTAACATGATCTAGTCAGGAAAGGTCTAAATGTAGTAGCTTCAATAAAGTGGCCCTCCTACTATTTTCAATCTCAGAGCCAATAGAATTTATAGGATTGACTCAGGGTGGAGTGTGGAGTAATGATGTGAGCAGCCTCTTTCTCTTTCTATTTCTCTGGCTTGTTATAAGTAACCTGAAGTACAGTTTAGAGAAATCATAAGAGAATGTTTTTCTGGGTGGGACTTAATAATAATCAGCACACAGAAAAGAAATGAAATACATATAGTCTTTCTGCTTTGATCATTTTGTGAAGTGGAATCTATATAAAAATCTGTGTTTATATAGAGGCTCAAGCAGTTGTGAGAAAAATATGTCATAAAATATAATTGGGATGAAGTTAGAAAGTCATGGGTAGATGGAAGTGGTTAACAGTACAGGAATAATGTAAGTTTACCTGCCAAGTTTGTTTTTTTTATTTTTTTGAGACGGAGTCTTCCTCTGTCGCCCAGGCTGGGGTGCAGTGTCGCGATCTCGGCTCACTGCAAGCTCCGCCTCCCGGGTTCACGCCATTCTACTGCCTCAGCCTCCCAAGTAGCTGGGACTACAGGAGCCCGCTACCACGCCCAGCTAATTTTTTGTATTTTTAGTAGAGACGGGGTTTCACTGTGTTAGCCAGGATGGTCTTGATCTCCTGACCTCGTGATCTGCCAGCCTCGGCCTCCCAAAGTGCTGGGATTATAGGCGTGAGCCACCGTGCCCGGCCAACTGGCCAAGTTTTGCATGGCTGATAATAGTTAAGTAGTATAAGGTTAATTTAAGTGGATGATGTATCTTGTGAGAATTCATGTTTAACTAAAAAAATTATAAAAAAATCACATGAACTGGAAGTCTGGAGAGGCTGAGTTGTGGTTCTGAGTTTTCTGGGAACTGAGGTTGGGATCTTAACTTCCCTGGGCCTTGTTTTCCTCCCCTGTGAAATAATGGGGCTGGACTGATGTGCCTTCAGCTGTAACAGCCTATGATTCTAGTCTCAAAAGTAGCAGATTGGCCAAAATGTCTCTGAAGGGATCATATAGGCAGTTTGGTGTTTACATTATTACACTACTGTGCATCAAATGTAGTGAAATGAGTACTGAACAAGGACTGCATTGTACTTCCAGTTCTTCCTCTTGCTAGCTTTGTCACATAAGTTATCTGATCTCTAGTGGGGTAAGCAGAATCATGTCCCTCTTCCACGTCCCATCCAAGATATTCGTGCCGTAATCCCTGGAATATGTGATATAGTATGTTATGTGGGAAAAGGAAATTTGAAGTTGCAATTATGTTACAAATTTTAAAATAGAGACATTAGTCTGGATTAAGCAGCTCTTAAAAGTAGAAGCAGAAGGCAGAAGGGTAGATCAGTGACATCTGAGGAGGAAGAAGAGGCAGAAGGGATTTGAAGTGTGAGAGGAACTTGACCCACCATTGCTGGCTTTGAAGATGGAGGAAGGAGGCTACAAGCCAAAAAAAAAAAAAAAAAAAAAAAAAAGTAGGCAACATAGAGAAGCTGGGAATGGTTCTTAGTTGACAGCCAGCAAGAAAACAGGGAACTCAGTTCTACCACTACATGGCACTGAATTCTGTGACCAACCTGAATGGGCAAGGAAATATATTTTTTTCCTAGAGACTTGTATTAGCTTTTTGCATTGCTATAAAGAAATACTTAAGATGGGGTAATTAAAGTAGTTTGTAAAGAAAAGAGGTTTGATTGGCTCATGGTTCTGCAGGCTATACAAGCAGGGCACTGGCATACACTTGGCTTCTGGAGAGCCCTCAGGAAACTTTCAATCATAGTGAAGGCAAAGGGGAAGCAGGCATCTCACATGGTGAGAACAAGAGCAAGAGAGAGAGAGAGAGAGTGTGTGTGTGTGTGTGTGTGTGTGTAGAGGGAAGTGCCACACATCCTTAAACAACCAGAACTCGTGAGAACTCACTCACTGTTGGGATCTGCCCCCATGACCCCAACTCCTCACACCAGGCTCCACCTCCAACACTGGGGATTACATTTCAATATGGGACTTAGAGGGGTCGACATCCAAACCATTTTCAAGACTCCAGAAAGGAATGCAGCTCTGCAAACACCTTTATATTAGTCTGGTGAGGCCCATGTCAGACTTCTGACACAACTGTAAGGGCATAACTTTGTGTTGTTGTGAGCTACCAAGTTCCTGGTTTGTCAGTACTTCAAATCCCTTCTGCTGCTTCTTCCTCCTCAGATGTCACTGATTTACCCTTCTGCCTTCTGCTTCCACTTTTTAGAGCTGCTCTATCTAGGATAATGTCCCTATTTTAAAGTTTGTAGCATAATTGCAACTTCAAACTAGACAAAGAAGTTGCAAATAAATGAATAGAGAAACAAAGAAGACACAAAACACATAGAAAACAAAAAGCAAAATGGTAGACATAAATCCTACTTTTATCAGTAATTACATTAAATGTAAATGAGTAAACATTTCAATCAAAAGGCAGAGAGTGGCAAAATGAATAAAAAGACATAATCCAACTACATATTGTCTAAAAGAGATACTCTTTAGATTCAAAAACACAAGTTGAAAATAAAAGACAGAAAAAGACATACCATGCAAACAGTAACCAAAAGAGAGCTGGAGTGGCTATAAAAATTGTTACTAGATTTTTAAAAAATTGTTACTAGAGACAAAGAAAAAACTCTTTATAATGGTAAAAGGATCAACATGTCAAGAAAACAAACATAAAAATATAGATGTATATGCATATAACAGTAGAGCTCCAAATTACATGAAGAAAAAAGTGGTAGACTTGAAAAGAGAAATAAACAATTTAACAACAGCAGAATATACATTCTTCTAGAATGCATATGGAGTATTATTTAGGATAGGCCATATGTTAGGCCATAAATCAAGTATCAATACATTTAAAAGGACTGAAATAATATAAGGTATGTTCTCTGACTACAATGCAATGAACTGAAGAATAAATAACAAAAGGAAGTTTGAGAAATTTACAAATATGTGGAAATCAAACAACAGACTCTTAAATAATCAATGGATGAAAAAAGAAATTACAAGGGAAATTAGAAAATACTTTGAGATGAATGAAATAAAGCACAACATAATAAGACTGATGGGATTCAGATAAATCAGTGCTTAGAAGGAAATTTGTAACTGTAAATGCACATATTAACAAAGAAGAAATATCTTTTTTCTTTTTTTTAAACTATACTTTAAGTTCTAGGGTACATGTGCACAACATGCAGGTTTGTTACATAGGTATACATGTGCCCTGTTGGTTTGTTGCACTCATCAACTTGTCATTTACATTAGGTATTTCTCCTAATGTTATCCCTCCCCCAGCCCCCTACCCCCTGACAGGCCCCGTTGTGTGATGTTCCCCGCCCTATGTCCACGTGTTCTCATTGTTCAGCTCCCACCTAAGAGTGAGAACGTGCAGTGTTTGGTTTTCTGTCCTTGTGACAGTTTGCTGAAAATGATGGTTTCCAGCTTCATCCATGTCCCTTCAAAGGACATGAACTCATCATTTTTTATGGCTGCATAGTATTCCATGGTGTATATGTGCCACATTTTCTTAATCCAGTCTATCACTGATGGACATTTGGGTTGATGCCAACCAAGTCTTTGCTATTGTGAATAGTGCTGCAATAAACATACATGTGTCTTTATAGTAGCATGATTTATAATCCTTTGGGTTTATACTCAGTAATGGGATTGCTGGGTCAAATGGTATTTCTAGTTCTTCATCATCGAGGAAACACTACACTGTCTTCCACAATGGTTGAACTAATTTACACTCCCACCAACAGTGTAAAAGCATTCCTATTTCTCCACATCCTCTCCAGCACCTGTTGTTTCCTGACTTTTTAATGATCACCATTCTAACTGGTGTGAGATGGTATCTCACTGTGGTTTTGATTCGCATTTCTCTGATGACCAGTGATGATAAGCTTTTTTCATGTGTCTGTTGGCTACATAAATGTCTTCTTTTGAGAAGTGTCTGCTCATATTCTTTGCCCACTTTTTGATGGGGTTGTTTTTTTCTTGTACATTTGTTTGAGTTCTTTGTAGATTCTGGATATTAGCCCTTTGTCAGATGGGTAGATTGCAAAAATTTTTTCCCATTCTGTAGGTTTCCTGTTCACTCTGATGATAATTTCTTTTGCTGTGCAGAAGCTCTTTAGTTTAATTAGATCCCATTTGTCTATTTTGGCTTTTGTTGCCATTGCTTTTGGTGTTTTAGTCATGAAGTCTTTGCCCATGCCTATGTACTGACTGGTATTGCTTAGGTTTTCTTCTAGGGTTTTTATGGTTTTAGGTCTTACATTTAAGTCTTTAAATCCATCTTGAGTTAATTTTTTTATAAGGTGTAAGGAAGGGATCCAGTTTTAGCTTTCTACATATGGCTAGCCAGTTTTCCCAGCACCATTTATTAAATAGGGAATCCTTTCCTCATTGCTTGTATTTGTCAGGTTTGTCAAAGATCAGATGGTTGTAGATGTGTGGTATTATTTCTGAGGCCTCTGTTCTGTTCCATTTGTGTATATATCTGTTCTGGTATGAGTATCCTTCTGCTTTGGTTACTGTAGCCTTGTAGTATAGTTTGAAGTCAGGTAGCGTGATGCTTCCAGCTTTGTTCTTTTTGCTTAGGATTGTCTTGGCTATGCAGGCTTTTTTGTGGTTCCATATGAACTTTAAAGTAGTTTTTTCTAATTCTGTGAAGAAAGTCATTGGTAGCTTGATGGAGATGGCATTGAATCTATAAATTACTTTGGGCAGTATGGCCATTTTCACAATATTGATTCTTCCTATCCATGAGCATGGAATGTTCTTCCATTTGTTTGTGTCCTCTTTTATTTCATTGAGCAGTGGTTTGTGGTTCTCCTCGAAGAGGTCCTTCACATCCCTTACAAGTTGGATTCCTAGGTATTTTATTCTCTTTATAGCTATTGTGAATGGGAGTTCACTCATGATTTGGCTCTCTGTCTGTTGTTTGTGCATAGGAATGCATTGATTTTGTATCCTGAGACTTTGTTGAATTTGCTCATCAGCTTAAGGAGATTTTGGGCTGAGATGATGGGGTTTTCTAAATATACAATCATGTCATCTGCAAACAGGGACAATTTGACTTCCTCTTTTCCTAATTGAATACCCTTTATTTTTTTTCTCTTGCCTGATTGTCCTTGCCAGAACTTCCCACACTATGTTGAATAGGAGCGGTGAGAGAGGGCAGGCTTGTCTTGTGCTTGTGCTGGTTTTCAAAGGGAATGCTTCCAGTTTTTGCCCATTCAGTATGATATCGGTTGTGGGTTTGACATAAATAGCTCTTCTTATTTTGAAATACGTTCCATCAATACCTAGTTTATTGAGTGTTTTTAACATGAAGGGCTGTTGAATTTTGTCTAAGGCCTTTTCTGCATCTATTGAGATAATCATGTGGTTTTTGTCATTGGTTCTGTTTATGTGATGGATTACATGTATTGCTGTATGTATGTTGAACCAGCCTTGCATCCCATTGATGAAGCCGACTTGATCATGGTGGATAAGCTTTTTGATGTGCTGCTGGATTCAGTTTGCCAGTATTTTATTGAGGATTTTTGCATCAATGTTCATCAGGGGTCTAACAATCTCTTTTTTTTGTTGTGTCTCTGCCAGACTGGTATCAAGATGATGGTTGCCTCATAAAATGAGGTAGGGAGAATGCCCTCTTTTTCCATTGATTGGAATAGTTTCAGAAGGAATGTTACCAGCTCCTCTTTGTACCTCGGGTAGAATTCGGCTGTGAATCCATCTGGTCCTGGACTTTTTTGGTTGGTAGACTATTAATTACTGCCTCAATTTCAGAATCTGTTATTGGTCTATTCAGAGATTCAACTTCCTGGTTTAGTCTTGGGGAGGTGTATGTGTCCAGGAATTTATCCATTTCTTCTAGATTTTTTAGTTTATTTGTGTAGATGTGTTTATATTATTCTCTGATGGTAGTTTGTATTTTTGTGGGCTCAGTGGTGATATCCCCTTTATCATTTTTTATTGCATCTATTTGATTCTTCTGTCTCTTCAAGAAGAAAGATCTTAAATCAGTAGCTTAGCTTGCAGCTTTTTTTTTTTTTTTTTTTTGGAGTCTTGCTGTGTCACCAGGCTGGAGTGCAGTGGCATGATCTCGGCTCACTGCAACCTCCCACTCCCTGGTTCAAGTGATTCTCCTCCCTCAGCCTCCTGAGTAGATGGATTGCAGACACGCACCGCCATGCCCAGCTACTTTTTGTATTTTTAGTAGAGACGGGGTTTCACCTTGTTGGCCTGGATGGTCTCGATATCCTTACCTCGTAATCTGACTGCCTCAGCCTCCCTAAGTGCTGGGATTACAGTCATGAGCCACTGTGCCCGGTGTAACTTACAGTTTTAAGAAACCCGAAAAATAAAAGCAAACAAAATCCAATGCAAACTTAAGAAAGGAAATACTAAAGATTAGACTGGAAATAAATGAGATACAGAATAGATAAATAATAGAGGAAATCAACAAGGCCAGAAGTTGGTTCTTTAAAAAGAGCAACAAAATTGACAAACATTAAGCTAGGCTGACTGAAAAAAAAAAAAAGAAGGCTCTGATGACTAAAATCAAGGATGAAAAAAGGGATACCTTACAGAAATAAAAGGATTATAAGTGAATAATATGAATAATTATATACCAACAAATAAGGTAACCAAAATCAAATGGATATCTATATAACCAAGAGAACTGGGTATATTTATATGCTCAAGAGAATTGAAAACATACCCTCACAAAACCATGTACATGTATGATCATTGTAGTATTGTTCATAGTAGCCAAAAAAAATGAGAACCATAATAAGAATACGAACGTGCATCAGTTAATGAAAGGATACACAAAATATAGTATATCCACACAATAAAATATTACTCAGCCAAAAAAAGGAATGGAATAATACTATATGCAACCACATGAATGAACCTTGAAATCATTATGCTAAGTAAAAGAAGCCAGACACAAAAGGCCACATGTTGTCTGATTCTATTTATATAACATGCCCAGAATTGGCAAATTCATAGAGACAGAAAGTAGAGTAGTTATTGCTGGGGGTGATAGATGGGGAGGACTGCTAATGGGTTTATTTTTGGCAATAATGAAAATTTTCTGAAATTAGATAGTGATAAGGATTTGTATTAGTTTCTTAGGGCTGCCGTAACAGATTACTACAAACTTGGTTGCTTAAAACAACAGAAATTTATTATCTCATTATTCTAGAGGCCAGAAGTCCAAAACCAATATGTTGGCAGGGTTAGTTCATTTGTGGAGGCTCTGAGAAAGAAGTCATTAACTGCTTTTCTCCTACCTTCTGGTGGGCTGCTGGCAATTCTTGGCATTCCTTGGTTTGCAGACACATTGGTCCAATCTTTGCCTCCATCTCCACATCATCTTCTCCTCTGTGTTTCTCCTCCTTTGTGTCTTTTCTTCTTTTGATCCGAATACTTTCCATTGGATTGAAGACCCATTGAATAATCCTAGCTGAATTCATTTTGTGAAGCTTAACTTAATTACATCTTTTAAAAAATAAAGTCATATTCACAGGATCTGGGTAAATGTATCTTTTGAGAGGCCACCATTCAACCCACTACAGAGTTGAACAACTTTGTGAATGTACTAAAGCCACTGAATTGTACACTTCAAAACCATGAATTTCATGATTTGCAAGTTATATTTCAATAAAAAGAGATAATTCAAAGAATGCTTTCACAATATTTTTATAAATATATCTTTATAAAGGGTAATGATTAAAGATCTGTTGAGGCAGACTTAAAATATTTAAGAATTATTATTATTAATTTTTAATTTACCAAAGTTTACAAATAAAGATATTAAACTCTGCAAAGAATACTTTAGGAAATATTTTATTCTTTTCACTACCAAACTTAGCCATATTTGCTTTGAAAAAATTTTTGAGATATAAATAAAAGTAGATGCATTTCTAAGCAGTTACTGCTCCTATCCTTCATTTCCTACTTTTCTGCATACATTCTATATTACAAAGGCAAATTAAAAAAACATAATTTTCAGGTAGCTATAATGTACCGGTTTCACCTGAGTACCCCAGAATTTTAATTTCTCAACCTCCTTCTTAGTATAATTGTGTCTGCCATCACTTATTATTTGATGGCACTTATCATGTGTGATTTAGATTGGAAGTAACTGACCCAAAAGAACAAAATAGGAGATCATAGTTCCATATGGCTGAGGAGGCCTCACAATCATGGCAGAAGGCAAAGGAGGAGAAAAGTCATGTCTTACATGGTGGCAGGCAAGAGAAAGTATGTTCAGGGAAACTCCCCTTTATAAAACGATCAGATTTTATGAGACTTATTCACTATCACGAGAACAGCATGGGAAAGACCCAATCCCATGATTCAATTACCTCCCACCAGACCCCTCCCATAACATGTGGGAATTATGAATGCTACAATTCAAGAGAAGATTTGGGTGGGAACACAGCCAAACCATATCACCATATAAAGGGATTCTTGCGTCGAATGGGATTGCTGTTTTGAATGGTATTTCTGTTTTTAGGTCTTTGAGGAATCACCACACTGTCTTCTACAATGGTTAAACTAATTTACACTCCAAACAATGGTGTATATGCATTTCATTTTCTTTACAACCTCACCAGCATCTGTTACTTTTTGACTTTTTAATAATAGCCATTCTGACTGGTGTGAGATGGTATCTCTTTGTGGTTTTGATTTGCATTTCTCTAATGATCAGTGATGTTGAGCTTTTTTTCATATACTTTTTGGCTGCATGTACGTCTTCTTTTGACAGGTGTATATTCGTGTTCTTTGACCACTTTTTTGAGGTTGTTAGTTTTTTTCTTGTGAATTTGTTTAAGTTTCTTACATATGCTGCATATTAGACATTTGTCACTTGTGTAGTTTGCAAAAATTTTCTCCTGTTCTGTAGGTTGTCTGTTTACTCTGTTGACAGTTTCTTTTACTGTGTAGAAGCTCTTTAGTTTAATTAGGTCCCATTTGTAAAGTTTTGCTTTTGTTGCAACTGCTTTTGGTGTCTTTGTCATGAAACCTTTGCCCGTGACTATGTGCTGAATGTTATTGTCTATGTTGTCTTCCAGGGTTTTCATAGTTTGGGTTTTATATTTAAGTTTTTAATCCATCCTGAGTTAATTTTTGTATATGGTATGATATGGTTTGGCTAAGTCCCCACCCATATCTCATCTTGAATTGTAGCTCCTATAATCCCCATGTTCCATGGGAGGGACCAGGTGGGAGGTAATTGAATCATGGGGGTGGGCTTTTCTTGTGCTGTTCTGTGATAATAAGTCTCATGAGATCTGTTGGTTTTATAAATGGCAGTTCTGCACACGCTGTCTTGCGTGCTGCCATGTAAGATGTGCTTTTGCTCCTCCTTTACCTTCTGCTATGATTGTGAGGCCTCCCAAGCCATGTGGAAGTGTGAGTCCATTAAACCTATTTTTCTTTATAGATTACCCAGTCTTGGATATTTCTTCATAGCAATAAGAAAATGGATTAATACATGGTATAAGGAAAAAGTCCAATTTTAATCTTCTGTACATGGCAATCCAGTTATCCCAGAACCATTTATTGAATAGGAATCATTTCCCTGTTGCTTGTTTTTGTCAGGTTTGTTGAAGATAAGGTAGTTACAGGTGTGCAATCTTACTTCTGGATTCTCTATTCTGTTTCATTGGTCTATGTGTCTGTTTTTGTACCAGTTCCATGCTGTTTTGGTTACTGTAGCCCTGTAGCATAGTTTGAAGTCAGGTAGCCTCATGCCTCCAGCTTTGTTCTTTTTTGCTTAGGATTTCCTTGGCTATTCAGGGTCTTCTTTGGTTACATATGAATTTTACAGTAGTTTTTTCTAGTTCTGTGAAGAATGTCAATGGTAGTTTAATAGAAATGGCATTGAATCTATAAAACGCTTTGGGCAGTATGGCCATTTTCATGATATTGATTCTTCCTTTCCATGAGCATGAAATATTTTTTTCATTTGTGTTATCTCTGATTCTTTTGAGCAGTGGTTTGTGGTCTCCTTGCAGAGATCTTTCACCTCCCTAGTTAGCTGTATTCCTAGGTATTTTTTTCTTTTGTGGCAATTGTGAAAGGGATTGCATTCCTAATTTTGCTCTTGGCTTGCCTGTGATTGGTGTGTAAAAATGCTAGTGATTTTTGCACATTGATTTTTTACCCTGAGACTTTGTTGATTTTTTTTTTACAATAATAATTTTCACCAGATTTACTAGGGAGTGAGTCTTTAGGACACCTCACACTGGCATCTGTACAGTTGAGCCCCATCATGCATTTCTTTTTTTTTATTATTATACTTTAAGTTTTAGGTTACATGTGCACAACGTGCAGGTTTGTTACATATGTATACATGTGCCATGTTGGTGTGCTGCACTCATTAACTCGTCATTTACATTAGATGTATCTCCTAACGCTATCCCTCCCCCCTCCACCCACCCCATGACAGGCCCCAGTGTGTGATGTTCACCTTCCTGTGTCCATGTGTTCTCATTGTTCAATTCCCACCTATGAGTGAGAACATGCGGTGTTTGGTTTTTTGTCTTTGCGATAGTTTGCTGAGAATGATGGTTTCCAGCTTCATCCATGTCCCTACAAAGGACATGAACTCATCCTTTTTTATGGCTGCATAGTATTCCATGGTGTGTATGTGCCACATTTTCTTAATCCAGTCTATCATTGATGGACATTTGGGTTGGTTCCAAGTAGCTGAATTCTTTTTATCAGCTTATGGAGCTTTTGGACTAACACTATGGGATTTTTTTTTTTTTTAAATATAGGATCATGTCATCTTGAAACAGGGATTGTTTGACTTCCTCTCTTCCTATTTGGACGCCCTTTGTTTCTTTCTCTTGCCTGATTGCTCTGGCCAGAACTTCCAATACTATGTGGAATAGGAATGGAGAGAGAGCGCATCCTTGTCTTGTACTGGTTTTCAAGGGGAATGCTTCCAGCTTTTGCCCATTCAGGATGATGTTGGCTGTGGATTTGTCATATATGGTTCTTATTATTTTGATGATCCCCTATACATTGTCACTCTTTTTCACACAATTTTAATTGCCTTTTACTCTGAACACATTGACATAGAAGCTAGCTAGAAAAGGACACTTTATATGTCAGTGTATTGCTTCAGTATTTGTTAAAATGTGGCAAACCACTGGCATATTTTGAACAATTTTGTTTTCTTCCTTTACAAACAACAAAGGTGGGTTCTCATCTGTATGAGTTATGACCCAAATATATGCTTATCTGTTTGCTGTAAAGTCTATGGCAGTGGCACATTTTTGCCTTATCCATTGAAAATGGTTGATTTTTAGGGCTTTATTTAAAATGAACGAATTATTTCCAGTTTATTTTTTATTGCAGATGAACCCACTTTTAGTCTATGTTGCTGATTACTCACCTAGAACTTTAATAGTTACATTAGGTCTCTTTCACATCCCATTCTTCATGTTATTTTTTTTTGCTTATCATTTTCAACCCATATCTTAGTCCATCAGTCAAACTACTGACAAGTATTTATTCAGTGCTTTCTCTTGGTCTGATGTTACAGAGAAAAACAAAATATAAGCTTTTGAAAAACTTGCATTCTTCTCAAGGAGTCAAGACTTATAGCCATGGAAACAATATTTTTAAAACTAGAGATAACTTTGGAGAATATCTATTTGAAGATGAGAAAAATGAGGCTCAGAGAGGTCAAGTGACTTACTCAAAGTCACAATGCTAGTTAGTGGCCAATCAAGGCCAGAATCCAACTATACCATGTTACTTCATCATGTAATAGGTGAAAAAGGTTGTAGGCATACTGCATTTGGAAATCTTTGTTTTTAATGAAGTCCACAGGTAAGATTTATGCCAGCCTAATTTTAAAACAGCTGAGCTAGCTTACCTAACTCTTTAAAAAATAATATGAGAGTCTCACAAAAGTTATGTTTCCAGAGATAGAAAGCTGTTTGGCATTCAAGGCCATCTATACATTGGCCCTAGAAAGACAGTGTGATGTAGTGGAAGGAGACCATATTGAGTTGGGTTCAAATCCCAGCTTTGTTATTCATTTTGTGGCTTTCAGAAAGTCACAGAACTATTTTGAATTGGTTTTTTGTCTACAAAGTGGGAGAGGTGCCAAAGGGTCATTGTTAGAATTAGCAATAATATCTGCAAAGTATTTGAAAATAAATAAATAAATAAATAAATAAATAAAAGGACTATATCACAGGATGTGGTTAAGTGTTAAAATACATGAATCCAGCTAAGAGTGGTTTAGTAGGTCAAGGATAAAGGATATTAATTTGGCTGAAAGTGAGTAAAGTAGGCATTCTGGGGAGGCAAGATCTGTACTAGTTCTTGAAGGATATGTAGGAGTTGGATAGGTGGAATGGAGAGGGAGAAACCTTTCCAGGTTAGAAATGCTGGTAATTGCAGAAGGAGAAATACTGATGGGGCTAGGGCAGTCTGAATTCTGGACGAATCTGCTGGACCTCTTAATACACCTATAACTTTCACTCATCTATGCAAACATAAAAAGACAGGTAAAGGGTTAAATGGAGGCAATGTGGGATAGTAAAAAGAGCACAGCGTCCAGAATTAGAAACACCTGGCTTCAAGTTCTGGCACCTCTGCTTAGTAGTTAAATGCCCTTGCAAGTTTCTTAACCTTTGCAGGTTTTTTCCACATCTGCAAATAGCAGTAAAAACATCTTCCTCATGAGACTCTTGATGATTAAATGAGGGAATGTGTGTGAAGAGCCCAATATAGTGTGGGACAAGAAGTATGTCCTTAGTATATTGTGGGTGTGGTTATTGCTGTTATGTTCTAAGTACGGATTGTCCCCAGATTTGGTCAGTGACAAAATGCAAGTTTCCTGGGAGACTTGTTTCTTCTGTGGATTGTCCATCTGATGCACTGCTTTCCTCACTATTGAACATTGTATGGATTTGTTACATCAAGTGGATACAGTCTTTGCCTTTGTAGGTCTTCTAGTTCAAGTGACACCAACACATATATTTGCTGATAGATGCTCACAAATGTAGCCAACAACTCCAGCTAGATGGATGACTTAAGAGTAGATACTAAGAAACCCATAAATGCCTACATTTTAGGAAACTGTTGTCTTTACTTGAGTATTCTTATTTGATGTAGAAATGGTGGTCGAAAGCTGGTATTCTCCCCAGTCTCATGCCATATATAAAAATTAACCTAGCTATAAGAGCTAAAGCAGTAAAACTCTTAGAAAAAAAACAGTGAAAAATTTTCATGACCTTGTATTTGGCACTCAGTTCATAAATATCACACCAAAAGCATATGCAATGAAATAAAATGAGCAGATCACACTTCATCAAAATTAAAAACATTTGTCTACATCAAAGGACAGTATCAAGAGAATGAATACAAAACTCACAGGATGGAAGAAAAATATTTGTAAGTTATATATCCAATAAGGATTTAATATCTACAAAATATGTAAAGAACTACAATTCAACAATGAGACAAAAATTCAATTAAAAATGGT
Organism: Homo sapiens; assembly: GCF_000001405.40. NCBI lineage: Eukaryota > Metazoa > Chordata > Mammalia > Primates > Hominidae > Homo > Homo sapiens. The sequence goes on along the minus strand of NC_000003.12, from coordinate 157,985,201 downwards.
CAAAGGATTGAATAGAGATTTCTCCAAAGAACATGTACATATGGGCAATAAATACAATAAATGATCATTTATTAGTCTTTAGAAAAAGAGAAAGCAAAATCACAGTGAGATACTACGTCACACCTTCTAGATGGGTTTTAATTTTAAAAATGAAAAATAAGTGTTGATGAGGATGTAAAGAAACTGGAAACCTTTTGTAATGTGGGGAGAATATAAAAGGGTATAGCTGTTTTAGAAAACAGTTTGGAAGTTTCTCAATATTTGAACATAAAATTCCACCCCATGTATATATTTTCACTCCAAAGAATTGAAAACAGGGGCTCAAACATATACCTGCATTCCAACGTATGTTGCAGTATTATTCATAATAGCCAAAGGTGGGAACAACCCAAGTGTCAATTATACATGAATGAATAAACAAAATGCTGTGTATGTGTGTATATATATATAAAAATACACATTTTTATATACATATATACACATATATGCACGACATGCACTATTGCACATATATACATTATATACACATATATACGCACATATGTATACATGTGTGTAATGTATACACATGTATACATATGTACACACATATCTATATATATACACACACGTGTCTATCTATCTATCTATCTATCTATCTATCTATCTATCTATCTATCTATCCATCCATCCATCCATCCATCCATCCATCCATCCATCTATCTATCTATCTATCTATCTATCTATCTATCTATCTATCTATCTAGAGAGAAAGCCGGGCTCCTCACTGGTCAATGGACTTACAAGGTGAGAAATTCTAACCTTTTCTTCTTCCCATGGTGAATTCATTTCTAGTGATCGCGCATATGCCAAAGAATATTTTCACTTCCTCTGATTGGTGAAGGCAGCAAAATACAGAGGAGAGAGACTCTGGAGAGCTGAAAGGATGTGAGCTTTGTTGACAGAAGCACTGGGCTGGTGTTTCAGCTTCCTGCCACTTTCTGACTGAGTTATCACGGACAATCTACTTAGCCTTGTTCCAAATGGACACCCACACCTGTAAAATGGCACTACTTCTGCCTCACAGGGTTGTTGTGAGGGTTACATGCAGTAATATATTCGAGTACGCTTTGTGAAGGTTAAAACATTATGTGAATCTTAGTTTTTATTCCAGGGGGGTGAAAAGGGGCATTCTATTCATTGGGAAAGTTTCTTTTAATACTGAGAAAATCACTCAGGGAGTATCTTGAAGTTGAGATGAACAAGAGAAAAGAATGATTATTGATTATTGTAGCCAAGAGCTCTGCAGGGCAAATAACAATGGTAATCACTATTATTTATTAAGTCCTTAGTATATGCTATTCACCCTATATACAATTTTCCAAATTTTTATTACAGCACTACAAATGTACTTTCTATTCCCATTTTCCAGAAGAAACAAACTCAGAGCAGTCATCTGATTTTCCCAAAGACATACATATAAAGTTTTGAGCTACGATTTGAGCCCAAGGATGACTGACTCGAATTGATCACATCCTTTTAACTCAATATAAAGTTCAATATTGTAGAAAACATCAACTGGGACATGGACAGGAAGAATTCTAAGAATCTGGCATTTATTGGTTGCCACACATATTCCCTCATCTTAATCCTCAGGAGTCTCACGAGGAAAACGTTTGTACTGCCACTTTGCAGATGAGAAAACAGACCTATAAGGCTAGGAAACTTACTCCAGGGCATTTAACTACTAGGTGGAGACTCTCCCAGGTGGCTTTCATCTCCATCTAACTGGAGTTGTTGGCTATGTTTGTGAGCATCTATCAGCAAATATGTGTGTTGGTGTCATTTCAACTAGAAGACCTACAAAGGCAAAGACTGTATTCATTTGACTTTCCAAATCCATATAATGTTCAATAGTGCAGAAAACAGTGCATCAGATGGACAATCCACAGAAGAAACAAGTCTCCCAGGAAACTTGCATTTTGTCACTGGCCAAATCTGGGGACAATCCGTACTTAGAACATAACAGCAATAACCACACCCACAATATGCTAAAGACATACTTCTTGTCCCACACTATATTGGGCTCTTCACACGCATTCCCTCATTTAATCATCAAGAGTCTCATGAGGAAGATATTTTTACTGCTATTTGCAGATGAGGAAACAGACCTACAAAGATTAAGAAACTCGCAACGGCATTTAACTACTAGTTGGAGGTGCCAGAACTTGAAACTAGGTGTTTTTTACTTTGGATGCTGTGCTCTTTCTGGTACTCCACATTGCCTCAATTTAAATCTTTATCCAGCCTTCTCATGATTGGATGGAGTATGGCAGTTATAGGTAGATTAAGAGGTTCAGCAGCCTCTTATAGATTCCAGTCTTCCTCAGTTTCCATCACCAGCATTTCACCACACCTAATCTTGAGGGTCTTCTTCCCCTTTATTTGATTAGCTCCAAACCTATATGTTCTTTGAGACTCAGATCAGGTCTGAACTCTGAGCTCTATAGAGCTTTCTTTTGTACCACAGCAGGGGTGGTCAGACACCACTTTCACCGTCTAATTTAAAGGTTCCTCTAAAAGGCTTGCAATGATAAAGATCTTTAAAAGAATATTTGTCATAAGATATAAACTGATGTATCTAGAAAACTATTCCAATTATGGCTGTTATTTATAGAAGCAAATACCATTGGTGAGTTTTAGCAAAGCACTTATAGTAGAGTGGTTTGGATAAAATCCAGGTTATTCACTTGTTAATACATTATTGATATTAACAAAATCAAATGTTAGGCTGAGCACCAAGTTTTTTTCCTCCTAATACCATGTGTTTACTAAGGCTATTACCCTTTCCAATCATTATTTGTCAAACACAAATTTCATAGTACGTACCACAATTTCTGAGACTCTTGTTACAGTTTGGAAATGTAGACACAGAGAATCAACCAATATAAAGAAAAACCCACTCAATCAATTTTGCATCATTACCCATGAAGCTCTTTTCCACTGTTGTTTAGAAAGATTCAAGATGAAAAGAGGCCATAGCTTACTGTTGTTTTATGCACTCCCTCACTATCCACTGTGCTCGGTTGTTTGTTATGGATTACTCACTCTCTCCCAGGTGGCTTTCAGTAGTGGTCAAATATTTAAGAAGCATTTATATCATCATGACTCCAACATATACTTCCCCTTCAGTGCTTCACTCCTTCCCAGCCCGAGTCATCACATGCTTGATTATGTAATGTAGCACTAACTTACCTCCATTTTATTTTATCTTTTCTTGTCAGAGCAAGATCTTACGATACAACAAACCAGAGTCACAGATAACTGTGACTCATGTGGGCAGGTCAGGGTAGGCAAAAAAGGGAGTGCCATTCAAGCATGGTGGACTGGACAACCTATTTCTCTCCCCACACCTTTATTAGCTGCCTGTTGTGACTTACAGATGGGTGGTGAGGGCAGAACCTGGCCCTAGAGTAAGATTTCATTGCTAGCTCCAACATTCAATAGCTCTGCTTTTGGGTAAACCCTTACACGCCCTCTAAGTCTTCATTTCCACACCTCCACAAGAGACTAATGACATACTTACCTCATATGATTGTTGTGAAAATAATATGAGACCACCAACAAAAAAGTGCTTTATAAATTTTATTTATAAGACTATTTTATTAATCTATAGTTGTTAAAAAGTTTATCTATGTTAATTCCAAATCCGCCCTTCTCTAAATTATGTCCATTGCTTTTAGTTCTCCTAATTTACCAATAACAACAATGATAGTGATAATATCATTTGCCATTTTGAGCACTTACTATACAATTTTGAGCACTTACTATACAAAGTCATGCTTTTTTTGTGAAATACAGAGTCTTTATGGAGTAACATGACTTTTGAAACTGGCAATATGATGCAAACTGGCACATTGAAAGATTCATTAAAAAAATAAAGCTAATAGTGATCTGATAGAAAAAGCATTGTGCCTGTAAGTCCATAGTTGTGATCTGCAACACTCCAGATCTCAGCAGGAAGCAGATGACCCACTCTAAGGACAGTTCAATGATGAGAATGTTTACAAAGGTGTAGGCAGAATGTAGGGGGTCACCAGGATATGGTGAAGTGCCCAGGGACTGGGACAAGGGAAAGCTGTTAACAGCTAGAAGGTAAAAGGGAAGGAAGCTATTACCAGGCTTCCATGAGCACAATACCCTTGGGAGAGGGGTTGTCTTCCAGGAGCTGTGGCTGTAGGTAACACAGCTATTACCAAACTGACATAGCAGAGAGGGATAGAGGGAATAAACACTCAGACCTGTCCCATTCTGTGATCTGGAGCTGCTTTCCATTTGCTGAGCCCAATCAGAAACTAGAGGGCCAGGGAGCCCAGCTAAAGCAGGGAGGTCAGTCACCTGGAGCCCAGAGCTGTGTGGAGAGTCTTTCTGGAAGGTCAATATAGAAAAAAAAAATAGTGCGGGATTATGAGAAATGCCAATATAAATAATACATAAATGTAGAATGAAATAGACAAACAATGAAATATGCAGACCTTACTCTAGGAATGGGCTGTGTCCAAAGCTTTGTTTTTTGGTTGTTTGGTGGTAACTCACCAAAAAACAGCTGCCATGACAACAAACTGCTCTCCCTATGAAATACACAATGCTCACAAATTACCCAGTTATCTTTTCTCCTTTATCATAAGTGGGTTGCTGATAGGATTTTGGAGTTGGTCTTGAGTTTCTCTAGTTTAGGCTTTGCGATTTCTTACCTGTGCTGTTGGGTACTTAGTTAACTTCTCTGAGCTTCAGTGTATGAACTTGTGAAATAAGGATACTGTTAGCATTACCTGTCGGGTAATAGGCTTTTGGGACTCCAGCTAGCTGAATGCAGAGAAACCACTTGAGAAGCTTGAGAGCTAACTTAGCTTTTCCTCTTGGGTCTGAGAATGTGGTCTTCAGTTTATTCCAAGAACTAGGAAAAGTCAAATATAAGCCCCCATTTCCCTTAAATGAGAATGTTTAATGAAGAGATTGAGTTTCTTTGAAAGAATGGACTGTGGTGCAGCATAAAGTTAACTCTTTGGATATGACTTACACAGGCATTAGTAGCTGCTATTGGGGGTTCTGGGGCCTTGCAAATGACTCCAGCATGTGCAATCCACCTCTGCCACATCTGCTCTGTGGGAGAATCTAATGCTCACATTCATTATTCTTTTATAAGTAGGTTGGGAACTTTTCCTAACTTAGCGTGTGTATGTATGTATGCTGCATGTGGTCTTTTTCTGCAAATCTGTAGCCCAGTGGTTCTCAACTTTAGCAAGCATCAGAATCATCTGAAGAGCTTGTTAAAACAGGTTTCTCAGCTCTGCGCTCAGAATTTCCATTCCAGTAGATCTGTGGTGGGGCCTGAGAACTTGCATTTGTATTACTAGGTTATACTGATGCTGCTGGTCCAGAGAGCACACTTTGAGAGCCACTACTTTGTCTCCCTGAACTTCTTTTCCATAGTGTTTGAGAGGGTTAAAGGAGGCAATTGACATAGAGTTCCTATCACAGCACCTGGTATGTAGTAAATATTTGCTTCTACTACTACCACAACTATCATGACTACTATGGCTGTTCAGCTGCTTCTACTACTTGGTAATCTTTCATTCCGGACGACATTAGTTAGGTATTAAGAGCAATGCCATCTGACTTAATTAAAGAAAATAATTACCTCTCTGGGAGAGATTTGCATTTTAAAGAAGCTTGTTAATTAAAAGAGATTTGTAATTTGAAGAATATTGGACTGTGATAAAGAGATATACAAAACTTCTGGCAATGTATAGTGGAAGATACTTTTGAGTAAGAAGCTGACATTCTGTAGGCTCTCTGCTGGGTCACCTCTCTGCAAAACTCCCAGATATTTAGGATTCCACATTCTTTCTAAAAGTTCTGAGCTTTTCCATGGGCTTCCATGGTAGGGAAAGCACATGGCCTGGGTGTGGGTAGAGCAGGTGCGGCCATTTATATGTATGGTTCTTTGCAAGTCTGGCATTTGTAAAATGGGTGATGCTTGTATTGTGTTTATTTATTCAATCATGTAATAGAAGATGCACATAAGATTATTTTGAAAAGTATGCCTTCCATTTTCATGCTGAGAATAATGCAGGAAGTTCAGTGTAATGCAGTTATAATAAAATAGTAGCAAAACAATATTTTGCTTTAAATCATGGAATTAGCAAGTAAAGACTAATTGGAAGCCAATCTTTTGCAAATTTTTTAAATGTAAGTTTATTTGGAGGATATGACTTGTTGGCCCAGAGTACATATAAAGAACAAAAGAGTATAATTAACAACAGTTTCAAATATGGACTTACCAGGCATCTTGATAAAATGAGTATTGACATGTATGTGAATGCCAACATTGTGTTTTTCCAATTCAATACTATGTTATGCCATAAAACTGTAGCAGTTATGAAAATTAGAATTGGTTAAAAACTGTTGAAATCTTTAAATTTTTCCTGTTTAAAAATCCGGAAAATATTAAACTTGTTCTAGAAGTTGAAGTAAAGAAATTAATGTCAGTGACAGAAATACAGTGAATCTAATTAGAAGTCCCTGGGCAGCAGCTCATTAGTGTGGTTAGTTAGTGAATGAAATTTCAGCTGCAGTGAATTAGACTATGCGTCTTCAGTTATTTTTTTCTAAAAAGAATTACAAAATGTCTACAACTGTTTTTTATTAGTAGAGTTATTTTTTCCTTCCCCACAAACAAGAAATATTTAGGATCCTTTTGTCATAAAAAAAGAAATGGCCATTTGGGGACAGGTTTTCTTAAATGCCTGGATGTTAAGCTTGGGTAAGTAAAACAAAATCTATTCTCCTGTGAGGGAGAGGCTTTCATTTGTCTGCTACACTGCTCAGTTTCACGTTTCTTTTGTCAAATCCTTTACTTTTTTTTTTTTTAACCATTTGTGCCTCTTTATTAGATTTCTGTAACAAAAAAAAATCTCATCTAGATTGAATAATATTCTAGTGAAAGATATTTAATGTAGGTTGGGACATTTATCTGTCAGTTGCTAAAATGTGACACATTTCATTTTTCATGTTACTACCATGGATATCTGTATCTTTGTCACTTGAGAGTTCATGGGAAATTTAGAGACCCAAGAGCCTGAATTCCGGTAGTTCAGAAGTGCTCATAAGCAAGGTATGATCATTGGGCAATTACTGCAGGATATGATAACCCCATCCCCTGGGGTGTTTAAATGCTTTTTTAGATTATAGTAGAAGTTTAGGACCTGGGCTCACACCTTTCTGTAGAGCCCTAAAATGGTAGAGTCCTGTTCACCCACAGTTTAGCTATGATCCCAGTGTTTTGGGGTCTGCAGGTTAAGACTGGGGATAGCCAACAGCAGTTTCTCAACTGGAGGTGACTTTGTTCCCCACGGAACATTTGGCAATGTGTGTGGACAATTTTGATGGTCACAACTCACAGCTGGGAGGGTGGGAGTGACTGCTGACATTTACTGGGTGATGACCAGGGATGCTGCTAAGTACCCTACACAACGAAGAATAATCTGACCCCAAATGTCAGTAGTGCTGAGATTGAGAAACTGTCCTACTGTCATCAAGTGCTTGCCGAATGAGCAGACACACACATAACGGATGGTACAACTTTCAGCTGCCTGAATCCCTGCAGAATGTAAAATGGGGTATGCACTGGAATGGAGCCAAACATTGCAAAGACCTCCTAACCCTGTCATTGAAAAGACTTCTGTGACAACTGTTTATTTCCTTACTCTCCTTTTTAAAAAAACATACATTTCCAGTTTATTTCTCTCTGGAAGTCCTTGGGTCAGTGGCATGTAGAAAATTGTGTTACACTTTCAGCAATTGACTAATATATTTTCCAATATGACTGGTCTCGAAGATCAGTCACCAAAATACTTTTCAGTCTAGCTTAGATGTATTTTTTTAAGTAGAGGGAGAATCATGTGAGGCTTTGAATAAAAAAATCTAAAACATCATGTTTTCTGTGCAACAACACCATGTGTACATTGCAAGAAATACAAGCATAGAATACTGGGGGGAGAGAAATTATGGGCTGGCCTGCCAGGCAGGAGTATGGAGGGTAAGCTCCAGTGCCAAAGGAAGAGGGAAGAGATGGGGAAAGGAGTCAAGTGAGGGAGAGAAAGAGTCCTTCTTGTGGGAGGAAGACCTTTTATTTAATGAAGGAAAAGATTTGTTTGTGAACACAGGGTATAAATATTATATACATTCCTCTCACTTTTCTAAAAAAAACTCTGCATTGACATAGGAAAGGAGAGTAAGATGATTTGGACACCAGGAAAAATGAACACAGAGAGTGGCAGGAAATGGAAATATTTTCTTCAAGTCATAAGAAATGGTGCCTGGCAATGTCAAGAAGCAGCAATTCCACTTAACTTCACGGTACTGCAAGCTACTGAAAATGGTGTGGAACTGGTATAAACTGGTATAATCTACTTGGTGCGAAGGCAATAGTATATGCAACTTAAATCAAGAAACCAAATGCTCAGGGAAATGCAACGTACAAAGAAGCAATGGCAAATATATATGTGTTGTTCTACTTCATCAATTTTTCTTAGCTGCTAGAGCATTTGAAATTATTCTGTTCACACTAAATATTCTTAAAATTATGTAAACTCTTTAAGTGCACAATTTGACTCTACCACATAAACACTTAAAGAACAAAACACAGGCTAGATGTAGTGGCTCACACCTGTAATCCCAGCACTTTGGGAGGCTGAGGTGGGCAGATCACCTGAGTTTGAGACCAGCCTGGCCAACGTGTTGAAACCCCATCTCTACTAAAAATACAAAAATTAGCCGGGTGTGGTGGCATGTGCCTGTAGTCCCAGCTACTCAGGAGGCTGAGGCAGGAGAACTGCTTGAACCCGGGAGGTGGAGGTTGCAGTGAGCTGAGATCACACCACTGCACTCCAGCCTGGGAGACAGAGTGAGCCTCCATCTCAAAAAGAAAGAAAAAAGCCCAGGCGCACTGGCTCACGATTGTAATCCCAGCACTTTGGGAGGTCGAGGCAGGTGGATCACCTGAGGTCAGGAGTTCAAGACCAGCCTGGCCAACATGGTGAAACCCTATCTCTACAAAAATACAAAAATTAACCATGCATGATGGCAGGTGCCTGTAATCCCAGCTACTTAGGAGGCCTCTGAGGCTGCAGAATCGCTTGAAACCGGGAGATGGAGGTTGCAGTGAGCTGAGATCACACCATTGCACTCCAGTCTGGGCATTGCAGAGAGACTCTGTCTCAAAAAAGAAAAATCAAAACACAGGTAACAAGAAAGCACTGTGCCTGCTTCCACAATCCAAGTGGATATGGCTTGTTAGTGAGTTTGTACCTGTCTTTCTTTTCCCCTATTCCATGAATGTTCTTATCGTTTCCATATCTCTTATTCTTCATGTATTTTATTTTTATTTATTTATTTATTTATTTCATGTTCTTTGCTCTTTTTTATTTTATTATTATTATACTTTAAGTTTTAGGGTACATGTGCACAATGTGCAGGTTAGTTACATATGTATACGTGTGCCATGCTGGTGTGCTGCACCCATTAACTCGTCATTTAGCATTAGGTATATTTCCTAAAGCTATCCCTCCCCCCTCCCCCCACCCCACAACAGTCCCCAGAGTGTGATGTTCCCCTTCCTGTGTCCATGTGTTCTCATTGTTCAATTCCCATCTATGAGTGAGAATATGCGGTGTTTGGTTTTTTGTTCTTGTGATAGTTTACTGAGAATGATAATTTCCAATTTCATCCATGTCCCTACAAAGGACATGAACTCATCATTTTTTATGGCTGCATAGTATTCCATGGTGTATATGTGCCACATTTTCTTAATCCAGTCTATCATTGTTGGACATCTGGGTTCGTTCCAAGTCTTTGCTATTGTCTTCACGTATTTTAAAACAATATTTTAACAGCTCTATTGAGGTTTAACTTACATACTGTATAATTCACTTATTGTAAATATACAGTTCAATAATTTTTAGTAAATTTATACATTTGCACAACCATCACCACAATCCAAGTGTAGAACATTGTCTATCACTCCAAAAATTCCATAGTTCATCTGTAGTCAATTTTTGCTCCAACATTTCTGCACAGGCAACTGTTGATCTGCCTTCTGTCTTTACAGTTTTGCCTTTTCTAGGAATTTCAGGTGAATGAAATCAAGCAGTAAGTCACCTTTTATGTCTCACTTCTTGATATAATGTTTTTGAGCTTCATCCATGCTTGTTCACTCCTTTATATTACTTAGTAGTAACCCATTGTATCAATGCAGCACACTTTATCGTTTACCAGGTGATAGACATTGAGTCATTTCCACTTTTTTGCATTTATAAATAATTCTGCTATGAAAATTCACTTATGAGGCTGTGTGTGTCATGTCTTTTGGGTATATTCTGAGGAGTGGAATTGTTGGATCACATGGCAAGTATATTTTTAACTTAAAAAAAACCGTCAACTGTTTTCTAAAATGGCTGTACCTTTTTCTATTCCCACCAGCAATGTATGAAGGTTCCAGTTTCTTCATATCCTCATCAGCACTTGGTGTGTCCATCTTTTTGATTATTTGTCATCTTAGTGGGTGTGAGGTACACTTTCCTCTCCTTTTCAAGGCCCCTCTTTTTCCTTTTTACCTTATTCTTTTCTTCCCAACTTGTACCTTTAGCTGATGGCTAGTACTATAGTTATATTCATTTATATAAAATCTCATTGTTGACAAATTCTTAGTAGACAAATCAAGAGATGATGCTGGTATGGATTCAAACAGTAATCCCCTTTGGCAATCCATTCAATTGGATTTTCCTAAAAATGCTCTTATTTTTTCTTACAGATGCTCTAGTTGCACTAATAGCAGAGTAGAACAAGCAGCTTTTAGGGCCAGGAAGTATACCTGTTCAGAAATGGCTCAATAGTGAGGGTTAAATAAAATTACAGTCACACCTGTAAGCATTTTCCCCCAAGCACCTAGAAATATTCACCCTCTCCTTCACATCCTCCACAGAGTGAAGGAATTGGAGGATTTTCTGCATTCTCTTAGTTGTAAGGGCAGATTTACCTTTGCTAGTGTCATGCTCCTTTGTTTTTCTTCCCTGACTGCTTTTTCCTCTCAGCCTGAGGCATGTGCCTGTAAAGCTGACTTTCTCAGTGTTCTACATGGTGGCTGAACTTAACTTGATTCAGCTTTGCAGGCTATGTTCCAGCAATCCTCTAGGGAAAGGGGTTCTCCACCCCTGATGCCCATTAGAAGCACTTACTGAGCTTTAAAGTGATACCCTAGTCCCAGTTCCCTGGAGGTCATTTAAACCAGAACGTCAAATGACCTTGGAATTGCATAAATGGTTAAAGGCTTTCTTTCCTGTCCCCAAAATAGATTTTTCAAATTTCAGCATTTGGGGTTATAAAAATATGGGAAAAGCAGGCCCAAATAATTATAATACAAAATTTTAAAAAGTGCACCCTGAAGGTCATGCTGTAGAGGTAGCTGGGAAGTTGTAGAATTAGACATTGATTTGAACTCAGATTGGGGTGAAGATTCAGGCTCTGTTCTTTTTTTTGTTTTGTTTTGTGTTTTTGAGACAGAGTCTCTCTCTGTCGCCCAGGCTGGAGGCAGTGGCGTGATCTTGCCTCTCACCTCACTGCAACCTCCACCTCCTGGGTTCAAGTGATTCTCCTGCCTCAGCCTCCTGAGTAACTGGGATTACAGGTGCCCGCCACCACGCCCGGCTATTTGTATTTTTAGTAGAGATGGGGTTTCATCATGTTGGCCAGGCTGGTCTCGAACTCCTGGCCTCAAGTGATCCAACTACCTCGGCCTCCCAAAGTGCTGGGATTACAGGCGTAAGCCACTGTGCCTGGCTCAGGCTCTGTTCTTAATGAATATTCATAAACCAGTCTGCTCTCAGCTTGGGCCTCTTTGGCTTTAATATGGAGGCTCAAACTTATGTTATCAGGATCGGTGGGATAATTCACCGAGAAGTACTTTAAAATGATACATTTCAGAGCCCTTTCATATCTATTAATTATTTGTTTTCAGCAATTTTTTTAAAGTTGTGTGGCCTTACTTTACCACACACAATTTGGGTATATTTTAATCTCATATTTCCTCTGTTGATCAGAGATTGGGCCAAGAGCATAGGTTCTGGTGCCAGACTGCTTAGCAGCAAATCCCAACCCTGTCACGAGTCCACTGGGGGATCTTCTGTTGTAATCCTCCTTTAACTTTAGTTTTCTTCTCTGTAAAATGAGCACAAGTACCTACCCCAAGGTTTTATGACAATTAAAAAGAGATAATGCTTGTAAAGCACGTAGCACACCCCTTAGATATTGGGCACTCAGGAAATGTTAGTTTTTCTTTTTTATTATTAAATGTGGTAAATACTTAAAAAATCCAAGGACATCCGGCATTTTATGGTTGAAAGGACCGTTGCACCCCAAGTGGCCCATTTTAAGAAATAGTAGTTTTTAAAAAATCTTGGGTAGTAGTTTAATTCAACCTCAGCATATATCATCTGGACTCCTGCTTCAGGTCAATTAAAAGTCCATATTTGTAAATAACTTTATTTGGAGTTTGTTTTTTTATTATTGCATTATTGATTTTTTCTTCTATGCAGAGTATGTGAAGGAAGCTTTTTATACAAGTTTCAAGTTCTAAAATAAAGCAAGGAATTGAGATTGACAACTTCTATACTACCAAATTACAAGCTTGTGCAGATCACAGAAAACCTATTTCCCCAGAACTTCATATTGTAAATTACTAAAATGATACATTCTTTGAAAAACTTTTTGTTTTGGGTATTGTCAAATAATCCATAATCCATAAAATCAGAGGGAATAGTACAGTGAACCTGCATGTATCCATCAACCCATCTTCAACAACAATCATTGATGCTTAGTCACAACAACCCTTGAAAGTGTTATGTAACCAGCAGGTAAAGAAACTCCAATCAAATTGATTTAATCTATTCTTGTTGTTAAAAAAATCCAAATAATACAGAAATGTGTGAAGTGCAAAGAGAATACCCATATTTTCAATCATTTATTAATAATACCTTAAATAAGGATGCAGTGAAGTCAGGGCTTATAAAGTCACACAATGCTGTAATTTAATGAGTGATGGATAAAAATTCTGGTCATATTTTCGCTGGAGATGCTTCTGACATACCAGTTACTTAGAAAATCTGATCTTTTCAGAGTAAAGCCTTTATCTGCCATTCTGTTTTAGATCATTGTAATTCACTTGTTTCTTGATGGAAATGGATTACAAATTTTACAAGTTTCTGTAATTGTTTTCATGGCCACAGAGGGAAATAAAAACATGAACAAACAGTAAAAGAAATGACTTCGACTGTACTATGGGATGGTTGTATTCTAATGATGCTTTGGGTGAGGGATTACAAATGTGAGAAAAAGAAAGCTCATTATCGCCTGGTTAGATTCAAGGACACCATCTTTCTGGATGAAAGGTGATTCCAGTATTCGCATTTAGCACAGATTCTGAGATGTACATTGAAGGTTATGGTTTGAATTTTTCTCAAATTAGGTACATAGCCATTTCTGTGTGTCAGAGAAAATGGAAATTCAGGTCACATTCCAACTTGAGTTCATTTTTCAAATTGTACCATAAGAAGAAAAGTCTACACAACCAACTAGCCTTCTGGAAATCCCTCTCCCACTGTTTCCATTTCCACTGAAGGTTGTATTTGTTTATCTTATGTCTTGGGTACACCATGACCTTTTATTTTAGATTTTGCAGAACTCTTGAGGACTTCTAATACTTTTGTTTTTAAAAGAAGCAGTGGTATAATAGTTTTAAGTCTGATTCCATGAATTAATTTTAATGCTTTCTAATTAGACTGTATTTGCAATTTTTCAGAAACATTTGACGAGACTTCTTTTGCACTGTCCACAATAATTTCATTGAGTTTTAAAGTATTTTAAAGATTTATTATTAAAAATATACAAATTAAATTCAGATCCTACATGTACAATACGTTCTAAAGTATTACTGACTGGATTAGTTCAACAATTGGGCCACACAGGATGTTTCATAAAGTTGAGAAACTGGAATAACATCTTAAGGCAATAGTAATTTGATTTTTTTCCTAAATATGTTGTCATAGATTTTCTTAAATGTTTTACAAACAGTTATTAAAAGCACATTGAGAATCCGAATTCCCTTTGGGCAAAACGTTTTAGTACTTAACTTTCATTTAATTCAAAATTACATATGGTTAGAGTTGCAGAAAAACACCAGAAAATCATAACCAGCTATCACAACACTACATATTTGAATCAATTCAGTGCAGCTTCACTCAGAGGTACCTCAAGGTGCTTAAGAATAAAAATAAATGAAAGTAATCAGTATTAGTCTTCCTTACTCAAAAAAAGGGAAATTTTAATTTTAAGTTTGCTCCTAACAATTCAAAGGCAACTTTGAGATCCTAACAAGGAAACTTTTAGTGACTGGTGTATTTTTAATGTAGGCTCACTCCAGAGAGAGAACAGGAGGGCTTGGTGAAGAAATTCTTAAAGCTTGAGGAATGTAAAGATGTATCTGAAGAAAACATTGATGAAGGAACTTGGTCCAAAGTTCCAGCTCGTTGACACAAAAAAGCTTTGTCTGTAATATGCAAACATTTAGGATTACCTGAATTAGAACTTAGACAGTTAAATTTTATAATTTGAAGGATATGCAAATAGGTAATCAACTAACTACTAATGTATTTGGAACTCACCGAAGAGGGAGTCTATGAAATGAGCCAGCTGGTGGATGAAAATAACTGAAGAATTATGTTTTATTTCTATTTAATGTTTCCATTTTAATTGTGCCTCTAGGTAACAGGCTTATAAATGGAAAGCCTCTCTTTTGCATGGAAGGTAGAATTACCCTTAAAAAAATTTTAAACTGTAAGAGCTGAAAAATACCTTCAAGATAATAAATTATTAAAGAATACAGAGAAGATTTGCCAATGTAAAATTATGCTATTTATGTGCCCAAAACTATTTGTATAAAAACACAAATTAAAGTTAGCATGTGTTTTAGTTGGCTTAAAGCAAAGTAAAATTTTAAAATATTCTTATAGGCCCAATTTCAATAAAAATATTTTTCATCTGGATTAAAATTGGGCATCTCTTCCTAAATTTATGCATTTTCCTTGCAATTACCACTCTACTAGAGGATAAAAAGGAATTTTGATGGGTGCTAGCTGAATTGGTACAATGCTTTAAGCTCTAGGGTTTCTATACCTAATTCAATATGCTGCCATGATTCTAGGCTTGTCCATAAACACATTACTTACAATATTTGTACCTTGTTTCTACTCTCAGTAGGTTTAAAATTAGTGTGTCATCAGCTTTATTTAATGCATATAGTTTGCCATCATTTATGAATAAAAAATTTTTAAATTATACTAAAAAAGAAAAAATCTTTATTAGCACGATGATCTCTTTTAGGGAGATCAAGGAAACAGAGAAATCCTGGCATCAAATAGCTTTGATTTCTCTGTATAAAAAGTGTTACAAAAGAGTGCAAAGGACAAATAACATTCCTAACTATGCTATCACAATTTTAAAAGTCATTACACTGGAAAAAAACAATTTTTCGAAAGTATGTCAAGGATTTAACAGCACAAAAACTTTGTAAGATTTGCCCATCTCTGTATATAGGTTGGTGTAAAACGAAGTTAACTTATGCTGATTAATGAGGACAAAAAAATGATGTGTATTTTTTTTTTTTTTTTTTTTTGAGACGGAGTCTCGCTCTGTCGCCCAGGCTGGAGTGCAGTGGCGCGATCTCGGCTCACTGCAAGCTCCGCCTCCCGGGTTCACACCATTCTCCTGCCTCAGCCTCCAGAGTAGCTGGGACTACAGGTGCCCGCCACCGCGCCCAGCTAAATTTTTGTGTTTTAGTAGAGACGAGGTTTCACCATGTTAGCCAGGATGGTCTCGATCTTCCGACCTGGTGATCTGCCCGCCTCGGCCTCCCAAAGTGCTGGGATTACAGGCGTGAACCACCGTGCCTGGCCTGATGTGTATTTTTAAAAACAATGACAAGATGGCCATCTTTAGACAATTGAAAACATTTCTATGGGTACCTAATTATTAACAGTATCTTGTAATAAAGAGGAGAACTGGGAGGTAAAAGAAATTCAATCAAACTGAGTTGACATTGCAGAGCATGAAACTACTGACAAAAAAATTCTTCATCATTTGTTAGTAAAATAATAGATGATGGATTCATAGATAATGTGTTGATCTGGGTTGTGGTAAGTGCAGGTGCTGAATCCTGATATTTGTGAAACTGGGAAAGGATTCAACAAATGACATCTCCTGCAAAGAAGAGGAAGGCTGAGACCCAGTTTCTCCTCCCAAATTTCTTCTCCCAGAGTTTGCCAGGAATAGGTGATGTTAGCCAACACCCTTGCATGGCTGCTTTTTGTCTTTGCAGTCATGTAAAAACTGCAATGTTTCCACTTTGCAGTCTTCTTATTCATTCTCTTCTGAGTTCCCACACCTATTCCACCACAAGATAGAGCCCCTGCACTTTTTTTTTTTTTTTTTTTTTGAGACAGAGTCTCGCTGTTGTCACCCAGGCTAGAATGCAATGGTGTGATCTCGGCAACCTCTGCCTGCCGGGTTCCAGCAATTCTCTTGCCTCAGCCTCCCAAGTAGCTGAGATTACAGGTGCCCGCCACCATGCCTGGCTAAGTTTGGTGTTTTTAGTAAAGATGGGGTTTCACCATATTGGCCATGCTGGTCTCAAACTCCTGACCTCAGGTGATCCACTTGCCTCGGCCTCCCAAAGTGCTGGGATTATAGGCATGAGCCACCGTGCCCAGCCAGATCCTGCCCTTTTTACATCCCAGATCTCTCTCTATTCCTGCCTCTCTTTTCTAATCCCATGGTGGCTGCCTTGGTTCCAGCTCTTGTCTCCTGTTTCATGGGCTATTGCTATAGCTCCCTCCCTGACTTTGTGCCTTTAATTTACCTACTTCTGATTCACCTACCACTTAGCCATCGGAGTGATGTTTCTATCATAAAGATCTCCTCGGGTACTTTTCAAGCTCAAAATTCTCCAGTGTTTTCTATTGCCTCCCAGAAAGAATTGGAGCTCCTTAGTATGGCCTATCAAACACTTTTTGCCCTGACCCATAACTGCCAGCATCGTTACTGCCATGCTGTCTTAACAATGCAGAACTACTTGAAACCTTCCACCCCTGAACCTTTGCAATGTGCTCTTTTTTTCCATTTAGTTTGCCCTTTCTACCCTTCTTCTCATGCCCAGCTTCTTGTTTGCCCTTTAATCATCATTATTTCCCCCCCAAAACATTGAGCTGATTCCTTTCCTCTAGAAATCTATTGCCTGTCTCAAAAGTTCAGGCCTCTATTTCGGCTCCAATGATACCAACTGCCCCCTCTGTTATCAAGGAGAATGTTATGTTGTAATTGTGTGCATGTCTGTTTATACAATAAGCCTTAAGCTGATTCAGGTCAGGAAGGGTGCCATTCCTCTGGGTATCAACAACTCACAACACACTATTCCTCAACACTTCTGCCCAATAAATCTTTGTTAAGTGAATGAATATGTGAATAAGTTGTGTGAATGGGATCAGATGAAACAGAGACTGAAAATGCCACATATCATTGAGAATTCATTGACCTGGTGATTTTCTGCATTTAGAATTCAGATTTTGACCTTAACTCCCACTAAAGAAAATCCTGTAGGTATTAAGAGCAGCTGTTTTCCAAAGGAGACTTGATGGCTTAGATTTGGGAGAATCACAAAGAGATAAAAAATGTGAACAGTAATTTCTACCACAGAAAAGATTTAAAATTTTTTTAAATTAAAAAAAAACCCAAAACCACTCATTGCACTTACTCTTTTCTGTAGACAAAATAAAATGATGATGAAGAGTAAAGAACATTGTCTACAGATGCTACAGATGTCTTACAGATGTAGGGCTGCACATCAAGGCTGATACTGGAACCATCTTGGCTTGGAGCATCAGGTGGCTCCAGAAGGAGGCCCGCTGGGGAGACCTCAGAGCCTCTAGAAGGACTGGAGGCTAGAAAAGGAGCAATGCGAGATTCATGAAAGATGGGACAGATACTAGTCCAAAGTGGAATCATATGGCAGCAATAGCATAACAAGGCTGCAGGAGACTCCAAACAATGCTTTGCAGTTCTAAAGTTCTTTACATCCTAAGAGCTCAAAGTGCTTTGTCCTAGCATTTTTTTAAACAAAAAGCTTTGGGTCTGAAGAGACTAATCTGAGCAGTTTCAAGGACTGCGAGTTATATTTTATGATCCAGATTTTGTCCTAGTTGTGAGCTCTAAGAAGTCACTAAAATGTCTTCTTCTAATTTATGTGACATTAACTATCACTTTATAAGTCTTCAGGTTTAGAGGTAAATATTTATGCCCTTCTTAGGCATGTTTTAGGTTTCTATTAAGGGTAAGACTCCGCTATATGTGAATGTTACAATCAGATTTTTGTCTTTCAACATGGAATAAATGTTTCCACTTTTTAAAAAGTGAAGAATGGTTGATAAAAATGGCACCTCATATTTAGGAAGCGGTAGCAAACTCTTACCAAATAATGTATTTAAAGCAACAATCAAGTTCCTTGAACCAGCACTCTATAAAATACCAGTTAAATCAGGAATCACATCTATTGAATACCTAGATGTGAGATACTGGTGAGGTAGGCCAGAAACTAAGCTTCTAAGTCAAATGGAACAAAATCTCTTCCTTCAAAAAGCTTGCAGTTTAACAAAACAGAAGGAGAATATGTCAACAATTATGGGACATTATGGTAGGCACCAAGATCAAATGTGCAGAAGGTGTGAGGGGTCACTAAGAAGAGGAATCCAAACCAGACTTGTGTGTGTGTGCATGTGATGGTTTCTTGAAGTTAAGTTTTAAAACACAAGTAGGAATTAGTTGGCAGAGGATAGCAGGTGCAGAGGATGTACACCTAAAAATATGATATACCTTTATGCAGTTCTTATGGCAAAAAGGAAGCATGCTTGAGTCAGGGGCAGGTAAGTGGTGGGAGATAAGTAGTGACCAGCAAGTGACATCACAAAAGGGTTGGTGTCAGGCAAAGAAATTTGGACATTCTCTGGAAGCTATTGGACTCACTTAGGGTTTTAAGCAGGGTAGGGACTATATCATATTTACACTTTAGAAAGATTCCATTGAAAGAAATAGGGAGGCTGGCATGGGGTGGAGTGGAACCAGAGGTTGGGAGACAAGGAAGATGCTCTTACTGCTATCCCAGGGGGATGTTGGTGAGGTTCATTCCTGACCGGGATATGTGGGTGGTTATGAGAGAGGAATTGGCAACTGGCACATGTATGTGCACACAACAGGGAGGTGGTTTGATATATTGCCATCTTTTCAAATTGCCAACTTTTGGAATGTTTTGTTTAAGAACTCTTTTCACACATTTCTGCAAAAACTTTTGGTTTTAGTCTTCAACAATAAAATGAACCTGCCTCATCATATATTTAAGATTTTTCATTGATAGCTTAGCTCAATTTAAACTGTATTCACTGAGAAGATACCAAATCCTGTTTGACAAACAGAACCTGTGAACCTCCCATAGGCAAGCTGAAATACCAATGACCCTTAAGCAGCAGAGCCAGGATACTCTTTCCTGATTCTAAGTCTAGAGTTTGGTTTACCAAGAAAACCAAGCAAGCTTTTCCTCTAAGGTAAGGCTGGCATATCTGCCCTTTCCTGGGGTGTAAGGGCTGGGTTTGACAATCTTATCCCTTTGATATAGATTTAACAGCTTGTATCCTTAGCAAGAAAGCATTTTCTTAGGACTCTCTGTTTGGGGCTGTGGCTGCCTGCTTGGTCTAGAAAACTCATGCCAATTGCAACTGACAGCTACGAAGAGAAAGAAGGGGCTAACTGGAGATTCCATTACCCAGATGAATGATGTAAATTTAATTCCTGGGCTCTTTCTCCTTATTCTTATCTTGGGCTCCTATGCTTATTTATGAAGTTACGCTTTTTGCTAGGAGAGTTTATGACATGGGTGTACTGGATTTAGAATTTCCTCAGGCCCAGATATCTCAATTTTTCTCCCTGTCTTTCCTGAAGTCATCTTCACCAGCAGTCATTTCCAATGAAATGCCTGCATTAGAAGACTGGAACCATAAGCCAACACCAGCCAAGACTGCCTTTTTACAGGACATGGTGTTTGCAGGCTGAGGTTTGAGGTTCTGCCAGTGACTCCAGCCCTTTACAGCCATAGGCCTCTCTGGATGCAAAGTCAACCAGGCAACAGTTACGTTGGCTTCATGATGTAATGGGTGTTTTGTTTTGTTTTGTTCCCCTTTGTTTTGCAAAGTCAACCAGGCAACAGTTATGCTGGCTTTGCCGTGTGATGGGGTTTTAATTTTTTCCATTGCAGTCAGACAGAGCATAGAAAATGTTACTTGAAAAGAATGGAAAAAAAACTGGCTATGGATATTAATATGGCCTAAAGATTAGAGAGTTCTGGAATGGAAATAAAAATACTGAACTCAGAATAGAAGCCTTCAGCAGTGATAAAAGTGGGATGATATTTGCAGTGGATCAACAATTTTTAAATTTTTATACTTATGCATTTATTTTAAATAAAAAACAGCTGTTACACACACCTGTGATTTGACAGATATTGAGGCTTAGAATGAGGGAATAATTTTAAAAAGGGAGTTCTTTTAAAGAAAAAAATTAATTAAGTGATATCATAGGTGGTTCCATGGTCTGGAGGACTTTGCTGTGTATCCCTAGCACTCTTCCACCTCTCTCACCCTGCAGCAGCCATGCTGATGAGGCAGGCCAGAAAAGGACCCTGAATGACCCAAGCCCATTAGTGGGATGCCAACCCCTTCCCACAATGATTGGTCCAGGTATGGGCACAGAACTTAAGGTGGTCCAATCAGAGTAAAACTCTGGACTTTACTCAATGATAGAAGGAAGCAACCCTCTCATTCCTTCTGGACAGTCTTGTGTGTGGATAGGAGGTCTTTGGAGAGAGGGAGCTCTTCCCCCCCAACCCCCCCACAAAACAGAAAAGCTGTCCTCAGGATGAAGTAGACATACAAAGGAGGTCAGAACCTGGAGAACAGCAGACAAAGGGAGTCAGAGGCCAGCTCAAACCATAGCTTTGGAATTTTCAGATACTTGAGCCAACAAATACCCGCCCCCCTTTTTTTTTTTCTGCTACTTGCAGCTGAAAGCATCCTAACAGGGCAGAATGACGAAGTGAAGGCAAGACACAATGAAGTTTAGGAAACATGGGCTTAGAGGGCAGAGTCTAAACTCTTCACTGTAATAATAATGATGATGATGATAAAAGTAGTAATAATAGCTAACATTCATTGAGGTTTTACTATGTGCCAGGAACTGTTCTTAGCACCTTAAATATTATCCCATTTAGTCCTCACATCATCCTTATGACCAAGGGAGCCAAAAACCTGGATTCTTGTTCTGTCTCTGCTTTTTGCGAGCTGGTAACTGCACACTTCATCTGTTCTCTTAGTGTATCTTTTATCTGCTGCAAAGGGTCATGAGGATCAAATAAGATAATATGATTTAAACACCTTAGTAAAGCACAAATGTAAGATGCTTTTTAAAAATGACATCTCATGTTTAGTACCTTGGTTGTTGTGGTGGTATCACAGGCATATGAGTATGCTCTAACTCATCAAGATGTATACACCAAATGTTTGAAATTTAAAAATGTATCAATTATACCTCAATACAACTAACAAATATTTCACATCCTATTATTATTCCCTAAAAATTCTGTTCTAGGGCAACTAACCTCACAGTTACGCAAATATAAACATATGCAGTTTATGTTTGTGTATGTGGGAGGCCCACTTCTCCTCTGGGGTCACCCATGTCCTGCCCTTGTTTCAAAGCCTGGTTCAAGACCCATCTACTTAGTTTTCCCACCACTTCCTAGATAATGCTGCTATCCTTCCATCGATTGCCTGTAGCATTTGCTGTCTGTCCCACCCACTGGCCCTCATCACATGCCACCCTAGGGGCTGTTTAATCCTTGATGTCCTGCTTTTCTGAAAGAATGTAAATTACTGAGGGGCAGGGACCTTGTACTCTAGCTCATAACTTATCACTCACTGGCTGACATGGTAATGCAATGATTCTGAGAAAAATCCTGTTTTCCCTTAATTTTCCCAAATGCAAACTTCCTTGGAAGAGATACAGAGGGGAGAAGTCATTTATGATCAAAGGCATAAAAACTAGTTGTTTTTCTTTTTTGTTGAATTTAACCCTCCATATACTTGGCCATTACTTATTTAACTTCTGGCTTCTGTCTCACCCTTCTTGTCCCCTAAGCAATGTAAATAAATAAAGAAAAATCACATAGGAACAACAACAACTGTAACAGCCAGAATATTTGTCAGTGCTGTAGAGGGAGCTGCCTCAAGTTGACTTTTTTTCAGGCAACAAGGATTGGTGTGGAGGTACGGTTGTGGGTAGCCTACAGAAGAAAAGAGAGGATGTCTTTGGAGAGAGAGTGCACATAAACATTTTACTCTCCAATGCATCCCAGGCTAGTGGTTGAGGCTAGTGGTGGGCGACCCGGTCCTGAACACATATTATAAGGTGCTCTGGGCTTCTTTGAGTTCAGAGTAGGTGCTGGATAAGTCATTATTTGGCATTATTTAATCCAGATAGACATCAGAGCTTCTTTGTTTGCTGTCTTAAATGCCATTAACATTTATTGAATCTCAGTAGCTGTACTATGGCTGTTAAGGGAAAACTAACATATGGACCATATATTGTCACTTCAATTAACTTTAGAACTTAAAAATCTTCCAAATTGCTTTTCATAAGTATTTTTCTGGTTCCTTTGTTTTCATGAGACTTGTTGACACTGGCATTAAGGATGACTTATTTTTCGAAACATAGTGTGGTGGATATTGTGGCCATGCAGGTAAAATGGTAACCCAGGGCTTTGCCCTGTTTAAGAAGATGAGGCTGTCTTAAATAATAGATAGTAATAATAATAATAGTAATATGCCTTATGTGTATACAGTGCTTTAGAGTTAGTAAAACACTTTCTCATTTTTTATTCTGCCTTGGCAGGAAGTTGAATAGCAAACAATCATGATGGGTGATCAATATGGTGAAGATCCAACTCTCCAAGCAGGACAGAAGAGAATGTGGATGATCTAAACTGTTAGTTGGACAAGTACAGAGCTAATATTATTTTTCCATTAGGACACATGCACATTTCCTAATTGAAAGAAAGGAGAACAAAAGCTGCCCACTGCGTCTGATGTGGTCAGAAACAGATGTCTGATGTGGTTAGAAACAAAAATGGGGGGTCAGCCGTTTTTCAACACCTTTGGCTTTAGGGCAGACTCAGAGATGAGAGAGCTCTATTTTTTATATCATTGTTATTAACTGATTAGTATTAAGAGGCAGGTAAAAAATATTTTTAATTATGACATAAACAACTCAGGTTGTATCTCAGATCCTTGGATAATGAACTGACAAGACTGGTTCTCCAGCATGATGCTCCATCCTGAGTCCAGATACAGATAAATACTGCAAATAACAGCTATCATGCTTAGCATGTAGTGTGTTGGGCATGGCACTAAGTGCTTCACAAGAATTATCTTAATTTAATCTGTACCACAACTCTATGAAGTAGTTATTATCATTGGCTCCCTTTTACAAATGGGGATACTGAGGTTAGAGAGAGTAAGTAACTTACTCAAAGCTATCTAGCTAGTAATTGATAGAGTTGGGATTTAAATCCATGCTTTGAGACTTAAATAGAGCTTAGCATGCTCAATTATTGTGCCACTGTGTAGTGCCAAATGCCGGTGGCAAATCTGGTGGAGGAGCATTTATATTTGCTTCCATAGACACCTGTCAGAATCAGAACTAGGATCAAACCCTGTGGGTCACAACTTCAGGCCAACCATTCACACACTAAATGAGCCATCAGAGGAAGAGGAAGATGGCAAGGAATTTCCATTTTGGCAGTACCAGAAAGCACAAATTAAATATCAATGAATTAGTGTGTTTTCTTTTACATTAATTCTTGCTATACATGTTTTAGTGGATAGATTGTTATAATGATAATTCTCAATGAATCAAGCCTTCCTGGGTCTTTGTCCCTTTCCTATGGAACTTTGTCACTTCTTTCACCATGACATGGAATCTATTTCTCTACTCCTTTGAATCTGGGCTGGCTTTGGGCTTTTCTTTGACCAATAGAGTATGGTGTAAGTGATGTATGTTGTGTGCTCCAGAGTCCAGGCCATGAGGAGAGTTTTGGTATCTGCTCTTACCATCTTGAAACCCTGAGACCATCACGCTGCAAAGAAGTCCATTTTGGCTTATTAGAGGATGAGAGACTGTAGAATAGATATCATTGAACACCAAGGGCCTTTGTGTTTTTGTTTTTAATCATCTGATGCCATTAAGTTTTGTATGTTTTTTGTTGTCAGAAAAACTGAGGAATAGACTGGAGTCCTTGTTAACAGCTGGCACCAACTGCCAGACATGTAAATAGGGCCATCTTGGACCCTCTACCTCAGTCAAGCCATCAGAGAGATGATAGCAGGCTCAGGAATGATCCCAGGCAAGATCAGCAGGAGAAATGCTCAAACTGTCACCTCGCAGAATCCTGAACACTGACAAATCATTGTGGTGTTAAGCCACTGCATTTTGGGGTTGCTTGTTAGGCAACAAGAGATACCTGAAGCAGTTTTGGTAATCCCAGTAGTACCAAATTATGTAATATTTTGCAGCTATTTTCACAAAAAACTTGTAGGGAAGCCAGTCTGAAATGGCAAGTGATTGGCCCAGTGCTACACAGCCAAAAAATAACAGAGTTGGTATTGGAACTTAGATCTTGACACTTGTCTAGCATGAACTCCAGTGCTCCTTATTTCCTCTGATTAAAGGAAAAGATAATGTTGGTTCATTTAAAAGTTAACTTAATTATGTACATAATAGATTTGGATGACAGGTATAAATACAACTATCGGTAATCATTTAAATGTCTCAGGAAGGTGAATTGGAGACCATCTATGCAATCTCTCAAAAGCATGAATGTCCCCAGGCACTGAAGTCATCCGCAATTCTTTTTGCTGTAAATCTTGATTCATGAGCTTATTTCTTAAACAGAGTAGGAGATTTCTCAGCAAGGCATAATTATTAGGAAGTTACTTCTTCCATTTAGAGGTTTTTAAAGTAGCAAAAATAAATTTCATTCTTAAAGATCAATGCAAACCAAGTTAACCATTTATTATAAAAATGCCGTGGAACATTTCTGGAGTGTTATCTTGTGGTACCATAGGAACCATTCCATGGGCTTGTTTTAAAAACCAAGCAAAAGCAAAACAAAGTAAAACTGAACTTGCGTTCTCTAGAGATACAGTGTAACTTTTAACCAATGTAACACTCATTTCTAGCTGTCACTGAACACCAGGGGCTTTTGTGTTTAGTTTTTAAACATCCTATGCCATTAAGTTTTGTATGTTTTTTGTTGTCAGAAAGACAGGCTGTCATTTTCCTTTAAAATAAATCATAACACAATTGGCAAAAGTACAAGAAAAGGTTTCTCAAGTAGTATCCCACTCCTAAATGGGAAAGAAAGAGGTCTCTGAAATTTATACACAGCCTCACCTCTGGTCAAGTTATTTGTTGTTGCATTTGTAATAGTGTGGACATTTCCTTTTAGAAAATGGAAGTGATTTGTAGTAGAACTGTTTGCTATTAACTTGAGCATCTGCTTGTGCTGGAATACTTGTTTGATGTGAACAAGTAAGCACTTGTTTTAACAATGAACTGACACGAAAATCAATCAAAAAGTAGAAAAGCTGATAATTTTATAAGCTGGTTCACCAAAATTGCATCCTGTAGTATTGGTTGGCAGAATTGTTTGCAATAATTTTGAACACAAATATTTGTATATTCTTAGGGCTTACTGAAGTTGTATGAATATCTTTTCTTGGCAACTGAAAATGGCATCTGGGGTGTAAAGCCAATTATTTAAACATGGCCTAGATATTGCATAATGTGTGGTGTTATGGTGACCATAATGTGATTTCCTAGTCTTCAAAAAAGCTACTTAAAAATTTCCATTGTTCTGCTGTGATTATGCAAATGAAAACAGATACAAGCATTAGCTCCCATATCTCATATTAGGTGATGGTAGAAAATATGAAGATTTTCAAAAAATGTCCAATGTCTATTTGTTTCTAATTTTCCTTCTGTTAATGTCACTGTAAATTTCAATGTCATATTCCCTCACGTTGCTGCCCCTAATCTGACAGTGTCAGAGGATCTATCTTCATTTTCTCACTCGTTTCATAATCTAATCCTCAGCTCTAACATGCAATTAGTGCCCTCTTCGCCCCCTGCATACCAAACAGGCCGACTGCTACAGCTTTCCTTGTGCAATCCGTTTAGCGAGGCTGCCAGTAATGAATATGTACATTTAGAAGACCTCAGCGCAGAGGGTCACAGGCAATCAACCTTGAATTCAATTATGCGAGTCAAGGTTAATGACTCGCTGCAGTGGTCAGAGGCATTCAGAATCCTGCAGATTAAATCAGCCTGTCAGAGCTGACAGTGTAGAAAGGACGGAATTACTTGTGTGAGAAACAGGGAATTGTGCAAAGATAAAATGGTGTCAGTCCTCAACGAAGATTACATGGACTTCTCTGTGGCAAATCAGATTGTAAATCTCCCGTGGACCTGCAATATGATTAGTCTACAAAAAGACGTTTCTAGATTGTAATACGGAGCCATTAATAAGACCCCCTGAACTCCACCCTCACTAGGTAACTTCGTTTTTTACCTTATCATTTACATCTTCTGATTGTTCCACATAAAAAATGAAATTATTATTTTTGTAGTTATATTCATGAAGTGTACCCTATGTTATCTTCTATAACACTGCCCAAGATTTAGTTGGTAAAAAAAATTAAATTTTGCCAGTTATTTTATACTGCATTTTCTGTGGTTTTCTTTCTTTTTCTAAAATTTTAATTTGTTTAGAGATAGGGTCCTGCTCTGTTGCCCAGATTGGTGTGCAGTGGAGTATCATAGCTCACTGCAGCCTTGAACTCCTGGGCTATCAAGTGATCCTCCCACCTCAGCCTCCTGAGTAGCTGGGACTGTGGGCACATACCACTGTGCTTGGCTAATTTTAATTTTTTTTTGTAGAGACCGAGTCTCGCTTTGTTGCCCAGGCTGGTCTTGAACTCGTGGCTGGAAGCAATCTGCCCACCTCAGCCTCCCAAAGTGTTGGAATTATAGACATGAGCCACCGTGTCTGACCTACTTTTCTTTTATGTCCTTGTCTTGATAATAGTAGATCATAGCTAGCTGGGAAAAACAAAATCAGAAATAGGTTAAAAACAGTGTTGATCACAGAAGCAGCTATCTAATGATTTAAAATAAAGTTTCTGAATTTTAACAATTTGTTATAATTATTTTGCTAAACAAATAAATATAAATTTTATTTGAATTTGTTCAAGAGACTTATCAATTCTTTCGTGTGTTGGGATGTGCATGTGTTCCCCAAATTCATGTGGAAGAGAAACTTTCCTCTTTCCTTCCACATTCTATCTACAGCAGAGCTCCTGATTTAGACTCATTTCTCAGTGGAGAATCCCTGACTTGTGCATAATCATTGACAATACATTTCTTGCATATTAACAAAGAATATTCATACACTTGTACATTCCTTTGAACAACAGATATGTTCTTTAAAAGTTGTGCTTCAATAATAATTTTGGAATTTTTAATAATATGTTAAATTCAATAGGAAAGTTATTCTTCCTTCATTTTCATTTTCTCCTTCTTTTCTTCCCATTGCATCTTCCGTTCTTCCTGTATGTGTTGCGTACATACTATATGTCTTGTTTATATTAAGGCAGGATCAAGGATAAATTGTCTTAATCTGTAAGGAACTCACAGTTAAGTGAGGGAAGAAGAAAGTAAGCAGCTAACTGGGTAATACGGTATGGTAAGTGTTGCGGTGTAAAATGTGTAAAATACTATACTGAGCCCTAAGGAAGAGGCCATGGAGTGTATTTGTGTGACTGAATGTGAGGTCACAGCAGATAGTGTGTTAGTAGGTGGCGCTCAAGCAGCAAAGAAGACTTCACAGTGAAGGGAATATTTGAGTTGAGCTTGGATTTGTCTGAAGGAAGCGTGGGTGTCTGGAGGAAGACCCTGGCTTCAGGCATTAGTGTTCCAGGTCATTTGGCAGGAAGAGTGGTAGGTGAAGTGTGTGAATGCATTTGTCTGCTATATTCCCAACAGGAAATAGAGTTGAGGGGACAAACATATAATGGGTGGAAGAATGAATGAAAAAAACAAGGAAACATGAATGAAATTATTCTAGCTGAGGAGATACGGGTTAAATTAGAGATTCTGTTGAGTGGTCTAATGTATATCAATAAAAGGAATTGGAGTTATGCAAAGTTATATACTGCCAGAAATTGTTACTATCTTTGTTACTATCACCATTGACATCCTCTTTTAACATAATTCAGTAGCACCAAAAGTAAACAAAATTCATAGCATCTGAAATTTAATCTGATTCTGCCCAGACATTCCAAGCAAAAGAATATCTATCTGTTTAAAAAAGTGCTTTTCTGTTCTTATTTAGATGTACGTAGTTAAAGAACACTTAACATTTCAGAAGATTTTTATATTCTTTATTCTGTACAAACAGTATTAATATTTTCAGGTTAATGTATGTGCAATAAGCCAAAATTGTTCTGGGAGAGCTACCAAGTTGTCTTCGGGCTGTGTATGCTCTGCTTATGTGATTCCTTGCCATGTCTTCGTGTTTTCCTTCTTTTTCCGTGTCTTTAATATTATTCACCAAAAATCATTTTTTCTCTTCTTATTCATCCCCTGATCCTCTTAGGATTTCAATTTTTCAAGAAAGCCATCTGATTCTATTAAAAAGCAGACAATGAAACAAATGCTTCCAAGCCTATCTTCGGCTGGGAGATCTGGCTGGCATAGCTACCACGGGACTCATGGAAGACCCTCATGATATACGGGTCACATGCCCATTTTAATTTTATTTATGCTAAGTCAAACCAATGTTGAATTAACTATAATGTCGTATTATTATTCCCCAGCTCCTTTCCTGATTGGTGTAGGTGTTGGAGTTTCTAGTTCAGTCTTTCTCAAATTGTGAGAAAGACTTTCTGCTGTTGATACATGAATCAGCTCTGTTCTTTATGGTATTGTGGAAGCTTCTTTAAAGGACAATTGAAATTGGTTTTCTGTTTGCGCTCGTAGTATAAAATTACCTTTACAAGTAAGCTAAGAAATTTTCTGTTTTTTTTTAAATTAAGAAGAAAATAGTACAAAAGGTAAGTGGATATAGCCAAGGTAGTAAAGTGGTCCAATAATGACCTAAGTTAGAGAAACACTGGGTGAGGACCCACTGATCTGTCCATTCAGAGGATACCACGCAGTTTGAGCCACATAGCACCAACTGATCAATCTCAAATTGTACTAGCAGAGCTGCCCTTGATAGAGGAGAGGAAGCAATGGAATTTTCAGGATCCATTACTATATGAATTATGGATTAAATCAGTAAAGGTTCTGAGCTATAGATTGACATGATGCATCCTGTCAAAGGACCACTTACAAAGTTGGAAGGTTCATTTATGATGTAACATGTCAAAAGCCCATTTATTAAAATCTCTATGCCCTGGATTGATGATATTGTCTTTTCTCAAAATATATTTTAGTCTTAAGTGAAGGCAAGAGGAAAGAAAAGAGAGCTTTCTTTTTAAAGTGACAGTTAGGAGACTATTGCAATAGTCCAGTTAAGTAATGGTGAGGGTCTGAACTGGGTCAGTAGCTATGGAGGTTGTTTGGAGAAATACTAATGGATAGATTCAATAGGCTTTAGTTACCAACTGGGTTGTCTCCCAGTTTGAAGGCCTTTGAAAATAGGTCTCCAATCTTGTTCATTCTTAGAGCTATCCTCAGGACTTTGAATGTGTTTTGCACACTTTCAGCCTCTGCACAAGTAAAGGTTTTGAAATGAGATTGGTGTAAGCTGGTTTTCCAAGGGGCTTCCTAAGTGAATGCTGATGTATAATAAAGTACAATTTATAAATTAAAAATTGTAATATGAAAAATGCCATATTGAATGTACAATGATAGTAAAGATGACAAATTGCTGCATAGTTACCATGAAATAAAAGTCATGAAATACAAAGGGGTACCAATGTTGTTAATTAAATAGCATAACAGACAGCGAAACAAGTTCTGTATTGGGTTGATTCTTCTGGTAAATAGAAAGATTATAAGGATTTACTCATTCACCCGTGGAGTCTACAAATATTTATTGAACCCATTGATTATGGTCTTATGGATCAGCAGCACCAAGCATGGAGGTGGCCAGAACAGGTGGGGACCCTGTATTTCAGAAGTAAATGCTCTGCCCAGTTACTGCTTGCTAAGTGGGATGTTATTTACTGATGTAGACAAATTAAAAACATAAATAACATTCCAGTGTCTAAATGTTTTCAATAAACACAAATTATGAGTTTTGTATATGTAAAACACAATCTCCCAGTAGAAAAACACTTTATTGATGATTTATGTTGTACCAAGTATGGGGCAATTGCTAAAGTCAAAACCATTCCCTAATTCTGTCTGCATTTATAGCACTTCCCCTCCCACCAACAGCCAACACAAATATATTCAGAGATTAATTTGCGGATAATAAAGGAGTGTCTGTTTGGTCAGCTCTCATTCATTCGTTTCTAAATGGGTGGCTTTGGCATTGCATTCTGTGTTTAACTCCAAGTTTGATTCCAAGTGTACCCTTGAAAATGACAACAAATAAAGGGGCTACCTCTGGTCTTACAGTCCTTCAAGTGTGACCAACCTCAGGCAAGTGAATGAAGCAGGGATAAATTGTCTTCGATGGCTCTAGACTTGGATGGTAGTGCAGTGTGTGTGTGTGGAGGGGGGGGGCGGGGGGGGGCGGTGGGTACGGTGGAGCTATCTTCCCCTCAAGCCCACTTCTCTCATGCCTACTTGCTACAGTTTGGATGTTTGTCCCTCCAAAATCTGATGTTGAAATTTGATTCCCAGTGTTGGAGGTGGGGCCTAATGGGAGATGTTTGGGTCATGGGGGTGGTTCCCCTCGTGAACAGATTAATACTTTCCCTGGTGGGGAGTGCATGAGTTCTTACTCGATTAGTTTCCTCAAGAGCTGGTGGTTAAAAAGTCTGGCACCTCTTCCCTGTTTCTTGCTTCTCTCTCTATGTGATCTCTGTATGTGCCTGCTCCCTCTCACTTCACCATGAGTCTGACACCCTTACTAGAAAAAAATGCTGATGCCATGCTGCTTCTACAGCCTGCAGAACCACGAGCCAAATAAACCTCTTTTCTTTATAAATTACCCAGCCTCAGGTATCCCTTTATAGCAATACAAAATGGACTAAGATACTACTCTTCCCACCTTTCAAATATATTCTCTGCCCCAAAACCAGAAATATATTTTAAAAAACACACCCAAATTAAATTATCACCATTCTCTTAAAACATTGCATCAGAATGAACCCTGACTCTTTATCACAGCTGATATGACCTAGGCTGTCTTTTTTTTTTTTTTTTTGTCACAATGCCTTGGTCTTTATTCATTCCTATTACACCCTAAGCTCTTTCTTCTTTATGCTTTGCATACGCTATTCATTCTGCATCAAGTTCTTCTCCTAGCTTAATGTCTGGTAGGCTCCTACTGACCTGTCAGGACTTGGCTAGGAAGGCCTTCCCTGACCACTAAATCTGAAGTAGACTACTTTCTTTCAACCATGATTAATATCACTCATAACATTCTGTACTTTTTCTACATAACACGAATCATAATTTATCATATCTTTATTTATATATTTGTCTTTTTTTGTCTCTTGTCTAAAGTCTTTGAGGGCAGGTAATATGCCTCTTTTGTTGACCACTAAATATTAAATAATTAGCACAGAGAAAATACTAGGTTATCAATAAATGTTTGTTGAAAATGTTGACTGTAAACATCTGTTCATTCATATTTAATAAGACCCTTTGTGTTGAGGTGTACACTTCACGTTGTACATCAGTGGATGGAGGAATTGTGAAATTCAGGGTACAGTTTGTGGTCAGAGAAGGTGTTTTCTCTGCACTTCTGAAAATTTGCCATGTGGTGGGGCCTTTGGGGTCTAGGCAGTGTGTGGTTTTTGGCTCTGACATTTTTTCTTTGTGACTTTTATACTTGTTGAGGGACAGCCTGAATAATGCGTTGTTTGGAATTTGGTATCTATTATGGGTAAAGGCACAGTGGCCTTGTTTGCCCCCAAATCTCTGAAGACTTACCATATCTGTGTGCTGTCTGCTTTCAGCTGGAATCCTGGCTGACATAGGATGTGAACTAATAAACTAAGATTAGTGTGAGTTCAAGCTTATAGTTAAAGAAAGAACTCAAAGGAGACTGATTTTAGTTTAAACCATGAACCAGAGCAGGAGAAAGAATCTTTGCAATTTCCATATGGTCCAGTCTAGCTTTCCTCTTTGAGGGCAATAGAGAAGTATTGGGGTTTCCTTTTCGTGGTTCTCCTGATTCCCACTTTACCTTAAGGTTTGGAGGTCTCTATGTTACCATCAGAGCTCAAGGAAGAAGAGAAAGAAGGAAGGAGAGAAAAACAATATAATACAGGGAAGAACTTTAGGAAAGGAAATGTCCAAGACACAGATTCCCACAATGGCATTATTATTACCATTTTAAACAGAATTAAATGCAATAACAGCTTTTAACCTCTTCACACATTCCATTGAGTGCTTTGTCCCCTACTATCAGGGCCCCAAAGTACCCTTGACCTTAACTCATGCCGCCTTTCTCTTTTGCATGGCAGAACTGAGGATGAACTGAGACCTGTGTTCCCATTAGAAGTTGAGGGTATGTCACAGTATTAACTATTATACTGCACACCTATCTGTCCATGCTTCCAAAAGGGGCCATGTGTGTGCTTTGGATTTTAGATGGATTTGGATGGCATTTCATTCCCTCTCTTATCTGCTCCTGGAGAGAATAATCTGGCTCTTGGACTCTTTTATTTTTATTATTATACTTTAAGTTTTAGAGTACATGTGCACAATGTACAGGTTTGTTACATATGTATACATGTGCCATGCTGGTGTGCTGCACCCATTAACTCATCATTTACATTAGGTATATCTCCTAATGCTATCCCTCCCCACTCCCTCCACCCCATGACAGGCCCCAGTGTGTGATGTTCCCCTTCCTGTGTCCAAGTGTTCTCATTGTTCAATTCCCACCTACGAGTGAGAACATGAGGTGTTTGGTTTTTTGTCCTTGCGGTAGTTTGCTGAGAATGGTGGTTTCCAGCTTCATCCATGTCCCTACAAAGGACATGAACTCATCATTTTTTATGGCTGCATAGTATTCCATGGTGTATATGTGCCACATTTTCTTAATCCAATCTATCATTGATGGACGTTTGGGTTGGTTCCAAGTCTTTGCTATTGTGAATAGTGCCACAATAAACGTACGTGTGCATGTGTTTTTATAGCAGTATGATTTATAATCCTTTGGGCATATACCCAGTAATGGGATTGCTGGGTCAAATGGTATTTCTAGTTCTAGATCCTTGAGGAATCATCACACTCTTCCACCATGGTTGAACTAGTTTACAATCCCACCAACAGTGTAAAAGTGTTCCTATTTCTCCACATCCTCTCTGGCACCTGTTGTTTCCTGACTTTTTAATGATCGCCATTGTAACTGGTGTGAGATGGTATCTCATTGTGGTTTTGATTTGCATTTCTCTGATGGCCAGCGATGATGAGCATTTTTTCATTTGTCTGTTGGCTGCATAAATGTCTTCTTTTTGGAAGTGTCTGTTCATATCCTTTGCCCACTTTTTGATGGGGTTGTTTTTTTTTCTTGTAAATTTGTTTGAGTTCTTTGTAGATTCTGGATATTAACCCTTTGTCAGATGAATAGGTTGCAAAAATTGTCTTCCATTCTGTGGGCTGCCAGTTCACTCTGATGGTAGTTTCTTTTGCTGTGCAGATGCTCTTGAGTTTTATTAGATCCCATTTGTCAATTTTGGCTTTTGTTGTCATTGCTTTTGGTGTTTTAGACATGAAGTCCTTGCCCATGCCTATGTCCTGAATGGTACTGCCTAGGTTTTCTTCTAGGGTTTTTATGGGTTTAGGTCTAACATTTAAGTCTTTTATCCATCTTGAATTAATTTTTGTATAAGGTGTAAGGAAGGGATCCAGTTTCAGCTTTCTACATATGGCTAGCCAGTTTTCCCAGCACCATTTATTAAATAGGGAATCCTTTCCCCATTTCTTGTTTTTGTCAGGTTTGTCAAAGATCAGATGGTTGTAGATGTGTGGTATTATTTCTGAGAGCTTTGTTCTGTTCCATTGTTCTATTACTCATCTTTCAGACCTAGTTAAGAAGCCAACCCCTCTGTGATGCCTTCTTTGACTCTCAGTCACTCTTTGCTTCCCTTTTGTCTTTCTCAACAAAATATCACGTGTTGGTTTACTTGTCTGTCTCTCGCACTGAATTGTGAATGCTTTAGGCAAATGGACTGTGTGTTATTTATCTCTGTGCCATTAACACCTAGTGCTGTGGTTGGCACATAGTAGGGACTCATTACTGAATGAACAAAATATAGAAAATTGTAAGCTTTTTGAAGCAATAACTTGCCTGGAGCTTTCTTGTTTCATAGCAAACACTGTTGGCCTCTGGCCCAGACCCCCTTAGCTCTCTTTTATTATTTCCTTGTATTTCTCCCTGACTTCAATATGCTTTTGCATCTGATGACTTGAACCTGTGGCTCATTGAAAGTCTGCCCCTCAACTACTGGAGTCATTTTGTTTGCCAGCTCAAAAGACTGGAAGTGTCTATGAGTTTATAGCTCAGCTTTAGGGACTCACTTATAGCAGTTTCTTTCAGGATTGTCCTGAGATAATTTCATTAATAAGTTATTATTTGCATGTGAATCTTCATTTTAATGTCTGTTTTTAGGGAGCCCAATGTAAGACAGAGTCTTTCCTTCTTGCCTAGCTTTTCAGAAAGTACAGTATGATTGGGTCACAGTTGTTCTTTTAAGTGACCACAGCTGAAGAACTGGTTGTAGAACCACACAGGAGGCAGCCCTTTGTTGGCAGACACAATTCTTCCTGAGTCTCTTGCATTTGTATATATCTTGCAAGAAAGACACTGATTGCCTTTTGTTCCTATCTTTTCAATATATTTGTATGGTGAACATCCTTGGAAGACAGGGATAGTGCCTTCCTCCAGAGCAAAAAGCCAGCAAGCTTACTGCCCATTATAAGAGATTCATGTTCCCTAAGCTCAGATTTCCCTTCCCATAATGTAACCCATGCATGTGCAGACACCTCTGAGGGTCTATCTACATTGCCCCTGGGAACTTGGGAGCAAGGGAAATTGATGTAAATATTCTGATGTGAATGCTGCTTGCTGTACTCTGGATATAAAGTCTTCTGTTTCTGACCTAGGAGTCTTGTGTCTTCTGCCAGCATCCATAAAGCTGCGGCAGACTAATTTCCTAGCTTGAAAATAGGATAAAATCTGCACTCTTTCACAGTTTTAAATTCCTTCTGCTCAAGAATTGCTAGTGGTTTCCCTGTGCTGTCTGTTTCATTTTACTCCTCATTCGTTTGCTACATTTGCCAAAACAGACTTTTCTGACTGAATGAACTACTGGGTGTGACCTCGTCTTCCTCATATTTTCACTTTTGGGCTTTGTTGGTTGGTTAAATGCCACCTGGGTCTTCGCCCTCAAAATAAAAAAACAAAAAACACAAAAGAACAAAAATGTACTATCTCAGGGACGTTCTGCCTCAAACACCCAGGCTTTCCTGACTGTATGTGACCATGAAGCCCCAGCTCCCCTGGGGGATCCTGAGGGCAATGCTGGCTAGATCTCCCTTCGTCCCTCCCTGACCTGCTGTCCTGTGCTTCCTTGTGCTGCAGAGCAGGGAGGGCTGCAGGGAGGCCTGGACAGCATAGCCCTCAGGTGCACCTCCTTCCCATATTTCCCTATTGTTCATCCTGTATGTGAAAGCCTATGTTTTCAAGAAAAAATATGAATTGTTCGTTTACATGTTAAAATGAGCCCAGAAAACATATACTGGCATGTTACTATTTTAAGTGACAGGAAAAATAACACTGAGATGTAAAACCCAAAGCTTCTTGATGGCTTATCTGTGAAATCAGAAAATCCTATTTTTTTAAGTTTCGATTTCTGTTTTACTTACTGTTAGAGCAGTAATTTTGTTTTTATTACTGCCCAAAGAGCCCATTATCTCTTTCATCACATGAGACTGCCCAAAATAACATGTCTCACTTAGAGAGGGACAACTTACAAAACCATGCTGTAAAGGGTTGTGGTTTTGTTATGGAACCTTTCAGGCTTTGATTGGTTGAAAGAAACATGGAAAATCTAAATTATTGTGACTTAAAATCTGGTGAAGATTTTATTTTGGGACATAGTAGTTAACATAGTTTTAAGCAAGATATCCAATTCCATGGGAAAATTGTGGGATAAGAATGAGCTCCATTTTTTATTTACTGATCTCAGGCACTTAAATTCTGTAAACCTCCATTTATTTGACTGTAAAGTGGAAATAATAACAGTAGTCCCAAAGGGCTGTTAGGAGGATCAAGGGAGATGATGCATTTGTATGCATTATGAAACCTTATACAAAGCTGAGCATGCTACCTGACACAGAAGAAGAATATAATAAATGTTTGTGAAATGAAGGAAGAAAATGTTATGTAGCAACTTTAAATTTACTCAGTTCCATTAGAGGAGATGTTTTGGGATCCTTATTAAAGATGCAATTTTTTTCATGAAATATAATTAAAAAA
Source organism: Homo sapiens (assembly GCF_000001405.40). NCBI lineage: Eukaryota > Metazoa > Chordata > Mammalia > Primates > Hominidae > Homo > Homo sapiens. The sequence continues at coordinate 157,948,228 of NC_000003.12, read as the reverse complement.
AATTTTTTTCCTGGATTCAAACTTAGTTTAGGACTTTATGACATGAAGAGTTGTTTAATAGAAACCTCTATGACATTAGCTTCAAAAGTTTAGGGATTTATCTCCCAATCTAAAATCAAAATCCCTGTTCAACCTAATATTTTCATATGATACTTTCTGCAGGTATGGCAAGTTCTATGAGTTTTTCTATAAGAATATAAAGCAACCCTCTTTAAAATTTGTCCTGAAAC